>NC_000002.12:26604369-26757120 GCF_000001405.40 Homo sapiens
ACCCTGTTTAAAAAATATAAATAAAAAGAAGAAGAAAAATCTTTCTCCAGAGGCAGGAAACACACAGGTAGAGAGGAACAAAGATAAAAATGACACTAGGTCTCTTATCAGAAACTAAGCAAGCCAGAAGACAATGGAGCGATATATTTTACTCTCTGAGAGAAAGAAAAAAGTCTCTTATTCTACTCTTCTATACCCAGCAAAAATACCTTTCCAATCTGAAGACAAAATACTCTTTTTTTCCCCCAGACAAACAAAACCTGGGTGAATGCATCAGCAGTAAACCAGAGCTACAAAAAATATAAAAGGAAGTCCTTCTGACAGAAGGAAAATTCCAGAAGGAAGCCTGTTTCTGCACAAAGGAATGAAGAATATTAGAAATCATAAGTAGGTGAGTAAACATAAAGGGTTTTTCCCCTCATTTTGAATCCTTTTCAAGAAGACAAATTCACAATTATAGTTGGAGAGTTTAACATCCAATGATTGATAGAACAAGTAGGACCTCTAAAAATCATTAAGGATATGAAAGACTTAAAAAGACTACCAATCAACGGGACCCAATTGATATTTTACAGAACACGCCACCCCACACAGCAGAATATACATTTTTTTCCAAGTGTACTTAGAATATTTACCAAGATAGACCATATTCAGGGTTATAAAACCAATCTCAATGAATTTAAGAGGATTTAAAGCATACAGAAAATGTTATTTGAACACAACAAAATTAAATTAGAAATCAATAATAAAAAGATTCTTGAAAACCCTCAAAGTCAAAGAAATCATGAATAATTAGAAATTATTTTGAACTAAGTGAAAATGAAAACATAACATATGAAAATTTGTGGTATTCAGTGAAAGCAATGTATACATGGAAATTAATAGCATTAAATGCTTGAATTTTTTAAAAAAAGAAAGGTTTTTAATGTTTGTTCAAGTAAAAAAAAAAATGTCCTTCACCCCTTGTTGGCAGTCAGTCACCGGGGGAAAGTGTATCAGCTGGTGGATGGTGGAACCCATTCCACCCTGTGCTCCTGGGCTACCTGCAAGTGGCTGCCCGGAGGAAATGGAAGAGCTTATCACCACCCACGGTGACTTGGACGCCACAGGTAGATGAAGTTGCTGGACTCACCTGCGAACAGGGGAGTGGACGCCCTTTCAGGGAAGGCTCTTCTTCCTTCATCTCACTGCCTAGGAGGAATTCCTAGTTCTGGGTCTGAACCAGGATTCACCCTTCAGCACTAGAGTATCTCTACCAGAAGGTGGCAGTGTTGGGTCAGCATCATTCAGTCAGTTCACAGACCCAACAAGTGAGCACCTACTGTGTGCAGGCTGTGACGACCTTGCAGGCAGGTGGCAGGGACGATATTATCACTTCATTTTGCAAATGCAGGGTCGATATTATCACTTCATTTTACAAAGAGAGGAAACAGCTCAAGCCCAAAGAAGGAAAGCAACTAGCCAAACGAAGGTCAGGACTCAAATTCTGAATTCAAATGCCCAACTACAGTGCTACTTTTGACTCCATCGAGCATTTAATTAACTGTTTCCCAAGAAAATGTTTCAAAATCACACTCCCACCTACCATGCAGGCGGGGTTTGAGGAATCGCCATGAGTCCCATGACCCTGCCAGCCCGCAGTTACTCAGAGAACAGGCCAAGGGCAGGGGGGAGGCGCGGGGGAGGGCGAATGATGTGGCTTCTTCCTTTGGGAATGAAGACACAAAGCTCATCGTCTGAACTTCAAGTCCTTGCCGCAAATGCATCAGGGTGAGGTACTGAGCAACAGACACTGCGCTGAGTCCTGGGGCCCCCCAAAATGATGCAGACGCTGCCACTGCACTCCAAGAAACTCAGCCTAGGCACTTACAGATGTTTCTTCAGAACCAGACAGCGTGGGGAAGTATCTCAATCAAGCGCACGCAAAGTGCTATGACAAGAGCTAGGACAGGACAGTGAGGCTGGGAGGCAGGACGGACAAAGGGCTCGGAAGGAGAAACCAGGAAGAAGACAGAGGGGAGCAAAGCCGAGGCCAAATCCAGAAGGGAGGGAGATGTGGTGGAGGATTCAGGGAAAAGCTGTTCAGGGGAATGAGAAAAGAGGCAGGGCCAGAGGACTCCCCCCTCCTCCCGCGCCCCTCAAGCTGTCTCTTTCCCTTCCAGGGAATAAAAATGTGAAGGAGGAGAAGGCAGCAGTGGGGTTTAACTTGGACTCTGAAACCCCTCAGAGACTCTAGCTGGTTGGTATGACCCTCCCCAGGTAGAAAGAACCCTGAAATTTTCATTTCTGGGGCGCTGGGGTCCAGGGAGCATGGAGGGTGAGAAATTTATTTAGGTGAATGCACTTCCTCTATTGTCCGGGGCCCTGGAGGCATCTTTCCTGCTAATTATTTATAAGAAAGGGATAGCCCCTGTGTTTGAGATGCTCAACCTTCCTGAAGTCTAAAAACAGAGAGGCTCAAATGGGAGCTGTCTCCTAGTGACAGATGGGCTGGCAGGGTCAGGCTAAGGATGTGTCCTGCCGGCAGCTGGAGGCGGATCGCTAATGGAACAAATAGGGAAGAAAGGCAGTAAAAATGTTAAATATTATTAAACAGCCATGGGATCATGTGGCTTGAACCTGACTCAGACCCACCAAACCAGTCCTCCCCAGATTCCAGGCCAACAGGTACCTGCCACTCCCTGGAGGAAACTTCCCAAAGAGCCATCTGCCCTAACTACCTCTCCTAGGTGGAGCTCAAAGGACTGCAGGCCTGAGGTTTTGGGGGCCACCTAGAAGCCTGGTCTTGCGTTGTGGGAGATTTGGGGTAGGCAGTGGAGCGAGCAGAGGCTCTGGAGTCAGATTGACTCTAAAAAGTTAGTATAATGACTTCTTATTTGACATCTACAAGATTTTCCCATCTTGCAGCTTTTGACTATATTTATACAATCTCAATATTTTAATAGTGCAACTTGCCCGAGCAAAAAAGAACAAAAAAGATAACCAAAAATCAATTGTCCCCTCACTTGTTCATCAACATCTATTACAGGAGAAACAAAACTTACCCGTATTGTAGATAAATATCTATCCACGTTTGTACATTACCATTTTTAATAGCTTGTGATCAACTCTACAATATCTTATAACACATTAAACAATATTCAAATTCCTAGATAACAACACAACAAAACAAGCTGTGTGACCTCCATTTCCCCATCTGTAAAATGGGTAAAGTCATAGCCTTGTTCACAGGGTTTTGTGGGGCTCGAATGAGATTATATTTGCAAAACACCTGGCACTGCCAGGACCCGGATAAACATTTGCTACCATGAATAACCCCCACCCCACTTCACCTGTCCTCCATCAGCACCACCAGCACCACCAACACTCCTGGCTCTGGTAGAGCTGTTCATTTTGAGCTCCAAGCAAAGCTGTTACCTGGGCCAGCGTGTGTCCAGGGGTTCACCCTGCCTGCCGGAGGGCAGCAGAAATGTGTGTTCTGGCTCTTCAGATGCTGACTTTGGCCAGAGGCTTGGCTGGCCAGCCAGGCTGATGTGAATGTCACCTCCACGTGAAATCTCCAGGGGACTCAAAGGAGAGCAGCTCTGGCCGGGCGCGATGGCTCACGCCTGTAATCCCAGCACTTTGCAAGGCTGAGACGGGTGGATCACCTGAAGTCAGGAGTTCAAGGCCAGCCTGGCCAACATGTTGAAACCCCACCTTTACTAAAAATACAAAACTTAGCTGAGCTTGGTGGCGCATGCCTGTAATCTCAGCTACTCAGGAGGCTGAGGCAGGAGAATCCCTTGAACCCAGGAGACGGGAAGGTTGCAGTGAGCTGAGATTGCACCACTGCACTCCAGCCTGGGCAACAGAGTTAGACTCTGTCTCAAAAAAAAAAAAAAAAAAGGAGAGTGGGTCTGGTGAGAAGGGGGTGAGAAGGGGGCTCACGTGCTGTGTACCTACCTACATTTCACCTCGCTCTGCAATTGAGGCTAGAGAATGACAGAGGCACTAACACATTGGCTGTGTGTCTGAGTCCCACAGGGAATTTGAAACAAAATTCAGATGCCTTAACCCTAGCATAGACTTTCCGAGTCAGCACCTCTAGGCCTAAGGCCCAAGAGTCTGTATCTGAATAAGCTGCCTGGGTTTCTCCGTGGACAATCCTTAGACTACATCCACTAAATGACCTGATCGAACTCCCAGGGCCACTAAATGGCAGAGACATGACACCAGATGCTGTCAGGCTGACTCCCAGGCTGCCCCATCCTTGCCTGGACAGAGCCTGCCACCCAACAGGGGTGGCGATGCGATGGGGGCTGTGGGGAGAAGTGGTGTGAAGCGCAGACCACACCCAGCCTCACTCCAGTGCAAACCACCAACCTGGAAACAGTGGTTTGGCACAGATCTCACCAAGCCTTCTTTCTCTCCCTGCACTCCCCAGCACCCCTGTCTCGTGGGTGGCCGGGCCCTGCAGAGGTGGCATAGCACATCACCCCCACCCCGGGGCCCACCCTCTTCTCACCTCTCCCTCTCTTGCTCTCTCGTCGCTCATGGTCACTTCCACCTGAGATGAGCTGTCTCTCCTGCAAGCCTGTCCTTTAACTGGCTTCCCTCTTCTAATTTCTGCCAGATTTTTTTAGGAAATGTTTCTATTGACAACCGCAGCCCTTTTGACAAAAACCACTTCTCCCAGAGCCCCAAATAAAGCACTGTTGTTAAATGGATGACTCTAGTTTTATTCTACCGCTTTGCTGGTTTTATCGAATTACGACGGTAATGAGAAAAAGATTATTATTGACACTAAAACAACTGGTGTGGGGGAAGGTGAGTCCTGTGAGTGGGGACGCCCCTCTGGTCTGAACAGGCCTGGGTGGAGGCAGGAGCTGGTGCCCAGTACAGAGAGAATGGGGCCCTTACAGGCACTCCAGGATAGAGGCTGAGGAGGGCAGGGGGAAGAGGAAGGGGAGAGGCAGCAGCGGATGCAAATGCTACAAGCCAGGGCCCTTACAGAGACCACCTCCCTCCTCTCCCCACCTCCCTCTCCCCAGCCTTCAGTGGTGCTGACCGAAATTCACACAGTGCTTGACATGAGTGGAATTTTTGCAGATGTCAGTGAAGAGGCCGAGAGTTTTGTCTGGGTGAATGTGAAGCGAAGCAGACATGCAGGAGACGGAGGCAGAGGGAACAGAAGGAAGATGTAGGAGCCCCTCTTCTTGTGAACCTCACTCCCACCCCAGACAAAAGAACAGAAAGATAGGGGAGGACCGCATACGCTCTTGGGCCAGAGAGGAGGAGGGAAGGGATTTCACAGCCATTTCAACTCCATTTTTCAGGGCGGGAAGGTCCCAGGCGCAACAGGGCTCCAGGTCTGGGCGCAAGGTTATTTTCTCAATTTTAATGCTGTTGTACTATGAGTAGCTTCAATGCTTGTGGCTCAGGCTGGGAACTTAAACACAGTTTATACGTTTTCCCACGGAAAACACAAACAAAGTTCCGAACAACCAATATGAAAACCCTTTAAAACACAATCTGTACCTGTACTTTACAGGCAGTTAGTTCAAAGCAAGAGACTGTAACTAACAGGATGAAGTCACCCACTCAAGGGCAGACCAGGCAGCGGAAGCTTAGAAAACTGCCTAGAACATTCGCTCCTCTGCTTCTCGTGGGAGCAGGCTGGGTTCCGCTTGGAGTGGCAGGGCCCCGCTGTGCCTCCACGACCCTCCTGGTTCCGGCCTACTGTTTACAAGCAGCCTTCCTGTTTGTAAGCCGCCAGAGGTTCTCAGATGGTGTCAGGGCTGCTTTGCAGCTGTTTGGGGACACCCAGCACAGGGCACGCTGGGAACCATGTTCCCTGTGAACTCTGCAGGCTGTAGATCTTTGCATCAAGATAACAGTTCCTCTTTTATCAAACACATCTAAGCAACAATTGATCTATTTTGTCCCTCACTTTGAATCCACTGATATAAACAGAAATGGACTCGCACTGCAGCCTCCTCTCACCAATAGCCGCCTCTCCCCCTGCCCACCCACTGCCCCACGCTCAGTGACTCTTTAAACAACGGAGTCTAAACCTAAGCAACTCAAAGGCCTTTTAATGTTTCAGTCCTTGACATTTTGGACTATTGGATTTTTGAAACCCCCAGCTTTCTGTTCTTCTCTCTCCTGTATCCTGGGGACTTTGCCCCAATAGTATCAGGCTGCCCTTGCCTGCTAAGGGCTCTGCCAGCCAGCCATGATTTACCTTGGCATTTATTAAGTACCCAGACCTCTGGGCACCACACCTTATCTATACCTTCCCTCGGGTCCAAGAAGGGCAGAAAGGAAGGCAGGAAACTGGTGCTTGTTAAATATTTACTGTATATCAGGTGCTGTGTCAGCCAAATTCACATCTATTTGTCCATTAATCCCTTACAAGAAACCAAGCAGTCAATAGCAGTAAGTCCATTGTATAGATTAAGAAAACTGAGGGGTGAGGAGGTTAAATTACTTAACCAAATAAGAGGAAAGGCAGGAATTTGATCCCAGGTCTGTGTGACCCTCAAACCTGAGCTCCTTCCCTGGAATGTTTTCCAGGAAAACGCTGCATTGCAATGGAAAAAATACACATGGGTGTCATACTCCCGGGCTAGCAAACAAGCCCAGGCTGAGAGTCCAGGAACAAGCTTGCTCCTGCAAGAGCAAGGGGAGAAGTGGAAAATGCCCCGTGAATCCCTGCATTTGCTGGGGTGGCCAGATGAACTGATGACCTGTCACAGGAGTGATGAGAACTTCTGCATCTCTCCCTCCAGGATGGCACCCTCTGGGCAGCAGTGCAGGTGGAGGAGACTTGGGGCTAGGATCCACTGCACACTCAGCAGGAGATGCAACCTAGCCTTCGGGCTGCAGGGCCAGCACTGCTGTGGCGCCTGTCAGCACAGTCCATCTGGGAAGTTCTCACATAATACTGTCCGTGGGAGGATGGAGAGAATGGATTGTATGATAACACAGGGTAGAGCTGCCTATTGAAAAACCACATGCGAAGAGACCTTTATGGAGTCATGTCAACTTAGAGGGAGGTCTCTAGTGATGTGTCACAGGGCTCCATCTTTTATCACTGATTTGGGTTAAGGATATTCCAAAGCCCAGGTTTCTTATTTTGTGCAGTTTCCCCTATGAGGCATAAAGGTTTTTCCATGTTGCTACATACTCAGTATAATTATCATTTTAATGATTGCGTAGTTCAAATTCTTGGAGTGGACAGTTCTATCCATCTAAAACCTCCAAGGAGAACCTGGATGTCTAAACTAAAAAAAATTCAAAAAATGAGAAAAATAATAGATGAGGGTGTTTATTACAAAATTATTTATAGTAACAAATAAATAAATAAACCCCTGGAAAGAATGTTAATGTCCAGCCATGAGGAGATGGTTTAGTAAATCAGAACTCAATGCAATTATGCGCCATCAAAATGATAATTACACAGACTATGTAGCAACAAGAAAAAGCATTTATGCCTAATGGAAAAGAGCACAGAATAAAATTGTATCTATGTATGTCTACGATATTATAAAATAAAGCTTGCCTAGGGGAAAAGACGGCAAAAGAAAATAGAAAATGAAAATTTATGTTAGGGTCGTTGGATGCTAAGGAATTGATTTCTTAAAATTTTATTTTATTGGTGTCATACTACGTTAACAATAAATAAAAAGCAAATTAAAAAAGAAAGTGCACTCCAGAGACAATTTGCTAAGCAAGCAAAACAACTTTCCTTCCCAGGGGGTTGGAGGCAGGAGCTTTTGCTTCTCTCTTCTGCTTCACTCTCTGCAGGGCAAGGGCTGAACCCAGGCAGAGCTGAACTCCTGGCTCCCAGACCCAGTGAGGGGCTGATGTGCACTCTTCTCCTGTAAGGCCTGGCAGGAGACAGGAATCCTATTCAGCTCAGAGCTCAATAAGAACGGAAGTTCAGTGGAAGATGGCCCCAGCTCATCGCACCATCTTTGAGTCTTAGAGCATCTATGTCTGTACCTTTCCATATTCTTTCCAAAATATGGAGCCAAAGATGGGTAACTAGGATGCAGTGGACATTTTTGTGGATTATTCTACAGGGTTCTAAGAGCCTTGTTGGCCCCAGTGCTGCTTCTACTTTCTGGGCGTGAAAGCCTGAAAAAGCACAGTGGTTCCCTGGCCTCCCTCCCCTCCCAGGGTCCCTGGTGGCTCGGAGGCCTCTCTAAGGAGGAAGGGACTCAAGAAGTGGGACCACTGCCAACTGCCTGGCCCTGCTGGGAGCCTTCCCTTTTCTCGGTGATTCTTCCTCTTCCAGGAGGCCATTTGCCCAGAGACAGAGAGCAGGAGCAGCTGGCCAAGCGAGGCACTGCATATGCACAGAAGGAAGCTGTCCTCAATCCACAAGAGCCCTGCCAGCTGCTCCCCGTGACGACTTTCCTGAAGGTGGGGTGGCTTAAGCCCTGGGGCAGTTTACAGAGTATGGGACAAGGGGGAGGTTCTGCATCAACAGGGGCCAGGGCAGTAGGTGCTCCAATCATCTCCAGAGATAACTTATCTCCCATCTCTGGGTTTTCTGCCACCTGAGAAGTGACGTCTTGGTCACTGGCCTTTGCCTCCATTCCCCTAGATGCTGGGTGGGTCTGCTGGGAGCACTTCCCTCTGGCATTTGGCCTTGGGCAGAAAGAGAGAGAAGGAGGATCCTTTCCCCAAGGCCTAGGGGACTTTCAGCAGATGCAAGGGCATTCATCATCTCTCCTCCTCATCTCAGCTTCAGCTTTCTAGGAGAGTGGGTTTTTCCCACCGGAGCCTGATCCCCCAGCTTATGCCTGGAGGCCTCCAGCACCTGGAGCTTGCTTTCTCTCGACTGAGCCTCCTCTCTCTGTTAGGAAATTTCCTCCCTAGGACCAACAGAAGGGGCCCCAAGGTCACTTTTCCCATCCACCTTAGCAGTACCCTTGGGGCCAAATCTAATTCCTCCTCCACCCACCAGCAAGGATGTAAAGAACGTATGTCTTCCCAAGTCTTTCTGCAGGTGGAGCACCCCAGTTTCTTAGCCACCTTCCCTCTAAGCCCCTGGTGTGAGGCTGGAGCTTACACATAAAGACTCCCCAGGTGGTCCTGCCACTCAGAGGGCACAGCCATGCCCTCCCTCCACAGGCAGCTTCTGGGAATGCTGCCTGCAATCCCCCTCCCTTTCCTGGAGTATTTTAGCATTTCACCTCCATTCTGTCATCCAGTCTTCGTAAAAACCCTCTGAAGTAGGCAGGGCTGCTATCATTGGATTCATTTTTCAGATGGGGAAAGCTGAGGTTATACACAAACTGCAGTTCAACTCCAGGGCTTTTGGTGACAAGCCTGAAGAGCCCAGGAGACTTTAGGGTTTGCATCCTGGAGTTGTATCCGGTGCCTGGCACACAGAAGGGGCCTGGGCTCTTGTGAGGGGCTGGGGCCAGAGCTAAGAGGAGAAGGAATGTCCTCAACAGGTCTCTCTGTAGTCGGGCCTGTGCGGGGCCTGTCCTGCCTCTCTGCACCTGGGTGAATGTGTCCCCGCATCTCAGCTGTCCCAGCTGTGAAGAGCAGAGGCCGCTGACACCGGCAGGCAGGTGGCTGAATGCCTCCTCTGACACTAGCCATTCGGGCTGCTGGGAAGCCCTCCAAAGCTGCAGGGCGTCTCCTCCCTGTGGAGGCAGCAGCAGGCCCAGGGCCTGCAGAGGGTCAAAAACCCTGGGAACAGAGCCCCGGCCAGCTTGGCCAGCACCTCATTAGGAGGCCCGAAGAGGGGAGGGGGTACTTCAGGAACGATATTGTTTATTTTTCTATTTTTAAACAAGTCTGAGGTCTCTGGGGCACAAATGAAGTTATCAGAAAAGACATGAGTGGAATAAAGCCTCAAGCCAGCAGGCAGAGAGGGGCCCTTGGGACCAGGACTCTTGAAAAGCTGAAATGGAGTTTGTTTATCTTGTACTCTGGGAGTGCCGGACTGTGGCCGAGGGACTGGATGAGCATGTCCCCAGGCCCACCGGCCCCTTCCCCAGGCCCTCATCTGCCTGTCCCTTGGTGTCACTGGGGAATTCAGGCACGAGCAATACTTTTTAAATGATCCCATTAGCGTGTCATTTGCACTAGAGGGAGGAGGCTCCTCCTCTGGAAAGGAGCCTGGACTCACTTCTCACCTCAGACACATGAACAGTTTTCCCAGGAGGCAGAGTCTGGCAGAGTCGGTGCACCACAGGGCGCCCAGTTCCGGCTGGTCACTGGCTGGTCCTGCCACCTCAGGCAACCCCTCCATCTCCCGAGCCTCCATTTACTCATCTGCCAAGTGGGGCTGATTATTCCCGTCTTGACTCACATGCACCCCTCACAGGGAGAAGCACATGAGATGCTGTGTGTGCAGAGTGTCCTCAGAGAAGGGCTGAGCCACAGAATCCTTACATGACCCTGCAAAGGGGGCTCGCCATGCCCAAGTTCAAGGTAAGGAAGCTGAGGCTCCGGGAAGTGGAGCAACTTGCCCGGAAGCCTGAACTCCTTCCATTTGCTAAACTGCCTCTCCAATGCTGCACGTCAAGGATAATGCGCCCTGCTCTTGGGAGCTTTGAGAGAAGTCACGAATCATTGACAGAACCAATTAGAGGCCTGAGTGGGTTTGACTGGATGAGAAAATCTTCCCAGGAAGTGAGAAACGTGATGAGAAGCAAGGAGAGTTGGCCCTGCAGTTGCCAGTGCTGGTTTGAGTTCCAGCCCTGGCCGCATACCAGACTAGCTGGGTGACTGAGGGAGGTCACTCAGGTACCCAGTGCCTAATTTTCTCCTCCATGAACTGGAGACAGTAACAGTCTGAATGCTACTTCCCAGTAAGATGTGGCAGGTAAGGAGTCAGGGGAACAGTCAAATCCTGGACAAATGAAAGCAGAATGCCTCTCCATCCCCTGCCCCCAGACAGCATGAAACAGGAGTCGAACAAACTGCAGCCAGGTGAGCAGTGGGAAGTGTTACCCATCCGTTGTCCCCTGCAAGAGGTACCACATAGGCTGCAGGGTACAGAATCTCCCCTACCTCCCAGGATGCCCTGGGAGAGCGGCTGCCATCCCTACAGGCTCCCTTCACCCCTGGCGTGAGATTAGAGCCTCAGGTCATCCATGCCCCGCCCTTTGGTCCAGGTAGAAAGTTGAGGCCCAGGAAGAGGAAGGAACTGGCCCCAGGCTACACAGCCAGCAGATGGGAAAGCTAAAACTAGAGCCCTGAGCTCTTCTTCCCCAACTTCCCAGGCTTTCCTCGCTACCTTCCTCACCTGTGGGAGGTGCTATCACACCCATTTGGAAGATGAAGACACTGAGGCCCTGAGAAGGGTGGTGCCAAGCCCAAGACCGCCAGGTGGCAGCGGCAAGGCCGAGGCAGGGGGCCAGAGCCCGTCCCTCCACTGCTGCCTGCTCGACCCAGAACAGAGACTGCCTCCTACATCACTGAGCTTTTTCTGAAACAAACCACTTCTTAATTCTTTGGCTGAATGTCTAAATAAGGATTTTTGCCAATTCTGAGCCCTGCTAACTGATGAAGTTGTCAGAAAAAGATCTAATGATGCTTGAAAATGCAGGGTGTGAGCCAGCTGCCAAGTTACCCTCCCAGCTCCGACTGGCATCAGGCGTCGGGACCCTCCCACCAGCGCTGGGGGGCGGTGGGGGGTGAGCACTGGAGAGCAAGGCTGCCGATTTCCATCAGCCATGTGACTGTGGTGGCTGGGCTGCTTAACCCCTGTGGGCCTCTGCGGCCCAGCTGTAAATGAAGCGAACAACTCCCTCCTCAAACAGTTACCTTGAGGAGTAAGTGAGATGATGCATGTGTGACATCCCACACCGTGCTGGGCACAGCCCAGATCTCAGGACTTCCTGGGGGCCACATGGGGCAGCCAGCTGGCCTGAGGTCAGCCGAATGCAGCATGGTGGCCGTGCCTGCAGCCCTGGGTGAGCGAAGAGTGGAGGTCGCCAACTCCTAGGGTGCTCACAGAGCCAGCATGCATCTCCCCAATGTAATGAAAGGCTTGGTGACCTTGGGCCCTGCGAGGTGGAGCCTTGGGATGGGAGCCTGGGAGGCCAGGCTGGGCCCTTTGTTCTCTCTGTCCTTTCTCAGTGGAAGATTTGTCCCGCTGGGGCGTCTGGGCACTAAAGGTGGGGCCTGGCTTGGGGACTTGGGAATCAGACAATTCCCAGGCCTACCACAGGAGCCCGAGAAGCTGGGTGCTGGGAGCTGAAGGGGCCCTGCTGTCAGGAGCTGGACCTAAGCCCAGGCTACCCCAACACCCAAGACAGACACTCCACAGGGCGTCCCAGATGTGTATGAGAAAAGCTATTCCATCTCAGCCATCAACCACCCCGGCCACCAGCTCCTTCCCATCCTCCTTCCTCCTCCTACCACACACATGTACATAAATTAGACATGTGCACACGTGTGTATCCACACAGGCACACACACGTGTCACCTGCATGGTGACTTTGACTTTTATCTTCCCGAGAAGATGAAGAGATATGCAGAAGAGCAAACAGAAGTCTTGGGGGAAGGGCAGGGCCTCTTCATAACAGGGACAAAGGCTCAAACGATTGCCTCTAAAGGATTGGAAGGTGAGGGGAGCAGGGACAGCTCAGGCAAGCACTGCCTGTGAGGGGTCAGGAGTCTTAGAGCACACATGGTCACTCCCAGCCTCCCCCACTGCTCTACCCATTTTACAGGTGAGGAATCCGAGACCAGGGAAGTGGTTTGTCAAGAACTTACCCACAGCAAGAGCATGGAATGTGTGTGTGTGTGTGTGTGTGTGTGTGCACGTGAGCGTGGGTGGGCATGATTGTGTCCTGGGCATGTAGGAGGTGGGATTCAGCCTAGGAACAGTTGGGGAAACTGGGAGGGAATGAGCATTCAGCCAGCCCCCTGTGTAACAGGAGCCTCTAGCTCAGGGAGGGTTGGCTAAATTGAGGGCGAGATGAGGAGAGAGAAGTTGGCAAGAGCAAAAATTCAAACACCCTTATTTCCTGTAGCCACTTCTGGAGCTGGATGAAGGCAAGTTGGCAGGACAGTCTCTGGGCAATTGTGTGGCCTTGAGTAGGGCTTTCAGCTTCTCAGAGCCTCAGTTTCCTCATCTGTAGAATGGGGAGATACCACTGCATCTTACAGAGCTGCTGTGAGGATCAAACTAGGTAGACTGTGAAAGTGCTTGCAACCATGAAGCGGTGACTAGGGCAGAGAACATTTGGGGTTGGAGAGTGGAATTGCTGTACTCATCCAATCTGCTGCTTTTCATTAACAAGCCAGGGAGACTATCTGAGGGTGAGGGAGGGGCTCAGGGCAGTGGCCTAAATACAGGAGGAGGATTATCACCGGGTCCAGCTGTCCCTGCCTGGGTTGAGGATGATCAAAGAGCCCCCTGCGGCTGCTTTCCTCCTGCTCAATCCTTTGCCCTCTGGCTGAGTGTAGCGTTCCCAGAGGGCTGCCCTGAGTTCGTGACAGCCAGGAGGTCAGGCAGCTCCTCATCAACGGACCAAACCTCAGACATGGAGTTTCCTCTGGACACGGTAGAAAATCAGAACAGGGAGTGTGGAACGGCCTAGGCTGGGGAGGGAAGCCTGGGTTGGAACCTTGGCTCACCCTCTGACTGGCCCTGTTACCAAGTGTAGGTTGCATCCCACCTGTGGGCCTCAGTTTCTCCATCTATGAAGGCTGGCTCACCCTTGGAAAGTGTGGTGAGGTGGAGGCCATGACACAGCTCTGAAAAAACTGATCAAAAAATGCACCAGGAAGATCCCTGGAGTCCAGGCCCTGCCTCCCTCCACCCCGACCTCATCTCAGGTGGACAGGCAGATTCTAACACCCTCCACATGTGCCATATCCAGAGGAAAAGAGGCTCAAAAACCCAAGAGCCTTTGAGACCCCTCCAGCCCAGGTCTCTGCAAGAAGAAGCAGGACTGTCTTTCCTTTTCTTTCAGACAGAATCTCACTCTGTCACCCAGGCTGGAGTGCAATGGTGCCATCATGGCTCACTGCAGCCTCAACCTCCCGGCCTCAAGCCATCCTCCCACCTCAGCCTTCTGAGCAGCTGAGGCTACAGGTGCACACCACCATGCCTGGCTAATTTTTTATTTTTTGTAGAGAAAGGATCTCACTATGCAACATAGTGAGATCAAGACCAGGCTGGTCTTGAACTCCTGGGCTCAAGTAATCCTCCCACCTCGACCTCCTAAAGTAGTGGGATTGCAGGCATGGGCCACCGCACCCAGTCAAGACTGTCATTTTTAATGGCAAAGTTTTCACTGGGCCAGAGAGCCAAGCCTGCCTTGGGCCTGGGGGTCCAGTCGGACCGGGTGCTGGGGAAGGGTCTACGTGTGGGTACTCCGAGGGCCTGGTCCTAGCCTGACCGCAGGGCAGCACTGGCGAGGTCCTTCCTGGGTCCTCATGGAGGAAGAAGTTGTGCCAAGGCTTGCATGGCCGCCCAGGAAGCCACTCAGCTCCTAAGAAGTGGGAAGGAGATGCTGACGGGCATGACCAAGGCATCTCCCACCGGCCTCTCTAGGAGGGACTGTGCTTACTGGTAGCCTGGGTGAGACCATCTGGGCCCCAGCTTTGGGCACTTTGGGCACTTGGGTCAATAATCTGAGCGCTGTGAAGCCCCTGGCTGGTGAGTCTCCTGTTCTTTATCCAGAATTCCCTGAGAAGAAGCCCCATCGGCCCCCATGACCGAACTCGGTGCACAACCCGCAGTAAAGGCATAGTCACTTCTTATGGGGTGATGGATGAGAACCAGGCGTGGGAGCCTCTATTCACCAGGCATTCTCCACAAAAACTTCTCTTATCCATGGTCTTTTCCCTCTGGGGATGAAATCAAAGGAAAGAGGAGTGACATTTCCCAGGAGTCTCCCCACAGGGCCCTCCCCGGGGGGTGAGGGAGGCTCCGGAGGTGCCTGGCTGCTGGGCGTCCCAGCGTGGAGACCGGAAGGAGGGCAGTACAGGACCAGGCTCTCAGGACACCAGCCTCATGGAGCGCTTGGGAGTTTGGGAATGGAGAATGGAAAAGGAAAGTTGTGGGGGCAGCTGCTATATGTGCGGAAGATTCTACGAGGGCAACGATGAGGAGGGGATTTCTGTAATGTTTTACTGCACATCGGAAAGGCAGGTGTGATTCCTGGGTAAAGCGACAGGGTGAAAGATCCCTTGCATCAAACCTCACTCCCTCCTGACACCTGCCAAAATGAAAGTAAAGGGGTTTCTTAGAGGCATGACCCACAAAAACATAGAGACCTGACAGGGAAACAACAGCAGATTCACAGTGACATACACAGGAAACAGACAAGCAAGTGGGAAGTAACCCAGCAGATTTGAGGAAGCAGGACCCAAAGCCCACAGCGGGGAAGGTGACACCACCCCGATCTCCATCCCGGAATCCCCTACAGACTCTGCGACTGAGGAAGCAGGAACCAAAGCCCACAGCGGGGAAGGCAACACAATCCTGATCTACATCCCAGAATCCCCTACAGACTCTGTGACTGAGGAAGCAGGACCCTAAGCCCACAGCAGGGAAGGTGACACCACCCCGATCTCCATCCCGGAATCCCCTACAGACTCCGCAACTGAGGAAGCAGGACCTGAAGCCCACAGCGGGGAAGGCAACACCATCCTGATCTCCATCCCGGAATCCCCTACAGACTCTGCGACTGAGGAAGCAGGACCCGAAGCCCACAGCGGGGAAGGCAACACCATCCTGATCTACATCCCAGAATCCCCTACAGACTCTGTGACTGAGGAAGCAGGACCCTAAGCCCACAGTGGGGAAGGTGACACCACCCCAATCTCCATCCCAGAATCCCCTACAGACTCCGCGACTGAGGAAGCAGGACCCGAATCCCACAGCGGGGAAGGTGACACCACCCTGATCTCCATCCCGGAATCCCCTACAGACTCTGCGACTGGAAGTCCCTGGTAGCGCTGGAAATAGAGGCTGGCTGAAAGGAAGGTCAATTGCAAGTGTTTAAAGCAGTTGGAGTTCTAGACACCCCCACCCCCGCCAACCTACAGGCTGCTCAGCACCACGGGGTGACTGCCCATCCCCAGCCCCTGCAAAAGACGGGAGTTTGTTCTCTGGGGAGAGTATAGCAGAGGCTTTCTCCACGGGGGACGTCAGACATGGTTGAGAACTGGGGAGTGAATAAACATACAGGTGCTGAACTCTGAGACCTCACCAGCCCTCTTTCCTAACATGGCTCTAGGATGCTAGCAGGCAGAATTTTACTCTCCATTTTTCTAGAGAATCCTCAAAATGACCCCTCAGATCGCCCTTCAGTGAAGCTCCCAGTTGATAAATCCCACCTAGGGACTTCAGCTTTAAAACAGCTTTTTAGCAACCACCCTTCAGTCATCATCATGAGCCCTTGATGACCAGATATCTGAGGAAGGCTTCTGACGCGCAAGCCAAGGACCCAAACAAACAAGTGAGAAAAGCACCTTAAAGGAAAAAGGAGAGGACGCTACAAAAACGAGAAAGATCAGAGAACAAAAATGAGCTCTTGGAAACTAAACGCATGATGGCAGAAGTGAAAAACCCTATTAGAGTTGAAGATAAAGTGGAGGAAATCTTCCAGAAAGAAGAGCAAAAAGGCAAAGATGAAAAGTAGGAGAGAAAAGACAGAGAATAAAGGACCAATCTAGGATGTACAGCATCAGAATATTAAAGTTCCAGAAAGAAAGGACAAAGAAAACAGAAGGGAGAAAGTTATCAATGAAATAATTAAAGGAAAGGCCCCAGAGCTGAAGGACATGAGTTTCCAGACTGAGTGGGTCCTCCGCGTGCCTCACACACAGGGGAAAGGACTCGTGCCAACAATTATTGTTGGGAATATCAGAGTAGTAAAATAAAAGAGAAGAGTCTACAAGTTTCCAGGAAAAAAAAAAAAAAAAAAACAGGGAATGAAAAAAGATCAGGAAACAGAAAGGCTTTGGACCTCTCAATAACAACGGTGAAAGCTAAAATGCAATTAAGTGATGCTTTCCAAATTCTAAAGAAAAATGATATCCAACCTACAATTCCATCTAAACTCTCAGTCAAAGGCCAGTTTCAGTGGCATGCACATGTTATCCCAGCACTTTGGGAGGCTGAGGCAGGAGAATTACTTAAGCCCAGGAGATCAAGACCAGCCTAGGCAACATAGTGGGACCCTATCTCTACAAAAAATAAATAAATAGGTAAATTATCAGTCAAGTATGAGAGGAGAAAAAGACATTTTCAGATATGTAAGTTGTAAAAACATTTATCTCCATGCAGCCTTTATCAGAAAGCTACCAGAGGATGTGCTCCACCAAAAGAAGGGGAGTAAATGGAGAGACATGAAAACAGAAAATGCAAGACCCAAGAGAGTGGTGAGAAGAATCTGAGATGGTCATGAAAGGAGATCCCAAGGTGGTAACATATACCAGGCTCAGAGGGCAACCCAGTCCTGGTTAGAGAATGTTAGAAGGCTCCAAGAGAAATTTTGCTAGGAAAAGGAAATGTACAGGAAACTTCTCACTTCTAAATGCCTTTGGAGAAGACTTAGAAGATTGGCAGAGGTTTGGTGTCATTTCAATGAAAAGTACATAGACAACTAAGCAAAAACAATGATGACATCCAGGAAAAATAAACAAAACTACACAGAAAGGGAAAGTAACTACAGCTTATTTCATGACTCAGCTCTGAACAGTGTATGCAGTCATAATAATACAAAACATTGAGGCCAGGCATGGTGGCTCACGCCTGTAATCCCAGCATTTTGGGAGGCCGAGGCGGGTGGATCGCCTGAGGTCAGGAGTTCGAGACCAGCCTGGCCTACATGGTGAAACCCTGTCTCTGCTAAAAATGCAAAAATTAGCTGGGCATGGTGGCGGGCACCTGTAATCCCAGCTACTTGGGAGGCTGAGGTAGGAGAATTGCTTGAACCCAAGAGACAGAGGTTGCAGTGAGCCGAGATCGCATCACTGTACTCCAGCCTGGGCGACAAAGCAAGACTCCATCTCAAAAAATAATAATAATAAATAATAATAATACAAAACATTGACTATTGATCTCCCCCAAACTATCATGTAACTATATTGGGAGGGCAGGGGAACAAGGAGTGAGGAATAGGATGGGTGTTGGGGAGGGGAAGAGCTTTAGCTCTTCTTAGGGGAAGTCAAAGGCTGAACTATCAAGAAGGGGTAATACAAGGTGCTCTTTAAAGACATGGAGGCAAATAAGGAAAGAATCAGCCAAGAGCTGAAAATAGTTGCCTTTGAGAAGAGGAAATGTGGCAACCCTCATAGGGCAACTTAACTCCTGGCACACATGAATAATTTTGATTTAAAAACTTAAAAAAAAGGCCAGGTGAGGTGGCTCACACCTGTAATCCCAGCATTTTGGGAGGCCGAGGTGGGCAGATCACTTGAGGTCAGGAGTTCAAGACCAACCTGGCCAACATGGAGAAACCCTATCTCTACTAAAAATACAAAAATTAGCCAGGCATGGCGGCACGCGCCTGTAATCCCAGCTACTCAGAAGGCTGGGGCAGAAGAATTGCTTGAACCTGGGAGGCAGAGGTTGCAGTGAGCTGAGATGGTGCTTCTGCACTCCAACATGGGCAACAGAGTGAGACTCCATCTCAAAAAAAATAAATAAGAATAAATAAATAAATAAATGATAAAAACTAAAAAAAATTTTTTTTAATTAGAATAAAAATTAAGGCTAGGTATGGTGGTTCATGCCTCTAATCCCAGCACTTTGGGAGGCTGAGGCAGGAGAATTGCTTAAACCCAGGCATTCAAGACCAACCAGACAACATGACAAGACTCCATCTCTATGAAAAACACAAAAATTAGCTGGGTGTGGTGGTACATGCCTGTGGTTCCAGCTACTCGGGAGGCTGAGGCAGGAGGATCGCTTTAGCCCCAGAGATTGAGGCTGCAGGGAGCCGTGTTCACACCACTGCACGCTAACCTGGGCAACAGAGTGAGACCCTGTCTCAAAATAAATAAATAAATAATAAAATAAATATTAAATTTTTAAAAATACACTACCATTCCCACCCCACCTACTTTTAGGATTTCTTGAAAGGCTGAGTAAATTTCAGGACTTTTCATCGCTTTCAGCCTTGGGAGTGAGTTCTTTGCAAGCTGTTCTAAGCAGATAGGAACTAGTTCTAAGCAGGACTCAGAAAGGCTCGGAAAACTTTGGGAGATACATAGAAACCGAGATGGAGCTGAAACCTTAGGGGCCATCCTGACCATACCTCCCTACACCTTGGGCAGGTTTCCAAACCTCTCTGCTCTGTAACAGATGGAATAAAATGTAGCAGGGGCGGGTCTATGCGAAGACCATCTGCCAGCAGGAAGCCCGGAGCAGGAGGAGGGAAGAGGCCAGGGGGGTGAGGTGGCCCCGCCAGTGTGCAGGCCTCCACCCTACCTGCTCCAAGGCCCTGCGATCTTCCTTTAGGCCCTGTTTCCAGCCATCCCCAGTGGATGCAACTACAGCTCTGGGCTCGGAAACTAGAAACCCAAGTCACACCATGCCACACTCATCTGTGTTTACAGAAAGCAAGATAATTATTTACAAGAACAGAAACATTGAGCTAATACACTTTTAAATACACCAAATCCATCAGACAAAAAGAAAACAGAAACTGCTGAGTGGAAAGGGGGCACTGTGTCCTGTCCCCGTGCGGGACATTTTGGTCAGCAGGCTTTTCCTGCTACCCAGGATGTTCTCTCGCCTTGTTCTCCACTGATAGGCAGACCCTTCCCAATATTCCCAAGCCCGCTTTTTCCACGAGTGAACCCAAGTTAAGAAAACAAAGCTTTCTTCCCAGACCACTCAAGCCCCTGAGCCAAGTTATATCAGTACCCAGAGCTCCCTGGGGCCCAGTTCTCAAAGCCTATTCCAGAGACGTGTTCTGGGCAGTGTGAGTCACGCAGCTCCCGTCCTTGCGGCCACAGAGGATGCAGGCACAGCCGGGCCCCCACCTCCCAGCAAGCCTCTCCTTGCTCATTTTGGGAAGCAAGGCTTCTGCTTTGTCCAGAATCGGAAAGACACAGAAGGAATCTTTAGTCCTCGCTCTAGGTCTCCAAAAGCTGGTCTGAGCACTAGGGATGAGCCAGTGACAAAGTTCTTGACAACAGGTGACAAACGGAGAACAATACGGACAAAAGGGGGTGTGTCTGAAAACACTCGAGGCTTCTTACATTTTTGTTTTAAAATTAATATTTCTTTAAAATAAAATGATGGTCACTGACAGTGGATGACATATTTTTTTTAATGTCCTTACTTGGCAAAACTGAAAGTTGGCATCTCTAGTCCTGCCTCAAAAAAAGATTTTGTTTTTGAATAAAAAGTCTGGGACCAGGCTGGGAAGTTTAGTGGGAGGGTGGGGGGCGGGGCAGGCAGGGATGGTTAATGGGTACACACAAAAAAAATAGAAAAAATGAATAAGACCTACTATTGGATAGCACAACAAGGTATTATGGTGTATATATATATATATTTTTTTTATATAGGCATTATAGTCAATAATAATTGTATATTTGGAAATAACTTAGAGGGTAATTGGATTATTTGTAACTCAAAGGATAAATGCTTGAGGGGATGGATGCCCCATTCTCCACGATGTGCTTATTTCGCATTGCATCACAACATCTCATGTACCCCATAAATATATACACCTACTATGTACCCACAAATTTTTTTGTAAGTCTGGGACATACTGTGGTAGATGGCACACCACAAAAGAGAGTAAGACCAAGTCCTAGGGCCAGAACCACAGACTCAGAGAGTGAGGAGGGCACCAGATCATCGGTCCAATCTCTTTTTGAGACCGAAGGATGCTAGAACACCCGTCAGTGACAGAAAGCGCATTCCCTCTGTGCATAGCGCTGGCAGTTAGGGAGTGTTTACTTGTATTGTGGAGAAACCTGCATGTGCTTGTACCTGGACCTATGTCTGGGACCACCTAGAGCGAGGCCTTTCCTAAGGACAGCCTTTTTTTTTTTTTTTTTTTTGAGATGGAGTTTCGCCCTTGTTGCCCAGGCTGGAGTGCAATGGCGCAATCTCAGCTCACCACAACCTCTGCCTTCTGGGTTCAAGCGATTCTCCTGCCTCCGCCTCCCAGATAGCTGGGATTACAGGCATGTGCCACCATGCCCGGCTAATTTTGTATTTTTAGTAGAGACGGGGTTTTTCCATGTTAATCAGGCTGGTCTCGAACTCCCAACCTCAGGTGATCCACCCGCTTCGGCCTCCCAAAGTGCTGGGATTACAGGCGTGAGCCACTGTGCCCACCTGTGGAAAACAGGCTCCACCCCCCCACTGCTTCCCACCCGGACTTGCACAGACAGTTTTGTTTGCTGTGCAGAAGCTCTTTAGTTTAATTAGATCCCATTTGTCAATTTTTGCTTTTGTTGCAATTGCTTTTGGCAATTTCATCATGAAATCTCTGCCCATGCATATGCCCTAAACGGCATTGACTACATTTTCTTCTAGGGTTTTTATGGTTTGGGGTTTTACATTTAAATCTTTAATCTATCTTGAGTTAATTTTTGTATAAGGTATAAGGAAGGCATCTGGTTTCACATTTTCTGCATATGGCTAGCCAGTTCTCCCAGCATCATTTATTGAATAGGGAATTCTTTCCCCATTGCTCATTTTTGTTGTGTGTCAAAGATCAGATGGTTGTAGGTGTGTGGCCTTATTTCTGGGTTCTTTATTCTGTTCCATTGGTCTACATGTCTGTTTGTGTACCTTTACCATGCTGTTTTGGTTACTGTAGCCTTATAGTATAGTTAGCTGAAGTCTATTTGCCCCTTTGCTTCTCCCCACTCCAGTCATTCCTCTTGTGATGTCACTTGCCGAAGATCATGTGGCTAGCAAGTGAATCCAAACCTAGTTCTTTCATGCCTGGCCTGGTGCCCTATCCCTAGTTCTCTAGGTGGGGCAATGGCTCAGGGTCTTCAGTTCAAAAGACGGTTCTGGCTGTTAGAGACCAGATGGAAAAGCAAGAAAGAAACCCAAGTAGAAAAAAAAAGCAACATACAAAAAAAAAAAAAAAAATCAATGGGATCCAAATCAACATGTATATATCTGCATAGAAAAAAAGTCTGGAAGGAAATAAGCCAAAATGATTGTGGCAGTCATCCCTTGAGGTAGACTAATATATCATTTTAATCTTTTTTTTGTTTTTCTGTGTTCTCTAGTTTTTCTACAATGAGCTGGCTCTTATTTGTATAATAGAATAAAATCATGACCATTTAAGATTAAATCAGAAAAGTAAAATTAAAATCATGTGGCCAAGACTCCACTTCCCAGTTGCTCTCCAGTGAGCAAGTTCGGGGGGAAGAGGGGGTCTGAGACTCCAGAAAAGGTGAAGCATCCCAGCCCCGGCCTGTGCACCTAGCCTATCTGCTGGGAAGAGCAGGCCTCACCCCACCTGCCCCATCCCAGGTCTTCTCAAGCCTTGCTGCACCCCACCCCTAACCCCAACAGGCTCCTCACCCATGACATGGAAGAGAGGAACAGGGGAAGCATAAAAGATAGTGCAGAGGACAATGGCTCACCTCCACCGGGTCCCTTACCCAGCACAAGGTGTTCATATTGGTTTATAGATGGGGGGATATACATGCAAGGAGTGTGATAGCTCCAGGCCCAGACTCAGCCCTCCTGATCTTAGTCCAGTGCTTACTCCTTTGGGGGCCAAACAGAGACTCCAGGCCCTACTGAGACAAGGCTATTGCTGGAGAAGGATGTGTTGAGGCCATGGGTCACCAACACCCTCTATGCCACCCCTCCAGTTCGGCTCCCCTTGGGCCCTCTGTGGCACCTGGAAGACCCAGGCACATGGTCACTGCTCAGCCAAGCCTTGATTAGAATAGGAGGCTCTGCCTGGGCCAGAGTTCAAGCTGACTCCCCCAGAGCAGGAACTAGTCCAGACTCTTCCATCATGTGGCCCCTTGGAAGTTGTTTCCCTCTTGGGACCTCAGTTTCCCCATTAATAAAATCAGGGTGAGGAGCATTTGACAGTGACTAGACTGGGTGGTCTCTAAGTTTCTTTCCAGTCGTAGCATTCAGAGAGTCTGGGACTGACCAGTGACCCTGCACCCACCCAGGGGAGGGCAGAAGCTTCCCATCAGCCCTGCCTGTCTGGCTGGCCCTGACCCCGGGTCCCTTAGTGGATGGCCTGGGTTTGAGAGAAGTCCCACCCACATGTGGTGGAGCCCATGCACGTGTACACATGGGGTGTGACTGTATGAGGGTGAGGCCAGGAAGTGGGGGGTGCCAGGAAGACCGCCTCCCCATTTTGTTTCTGTCACAGTCACAGTCTCCGATTCACTCACCTTTCTGAGGTTTCTATTTCTTTCCCCTCCAGAATCCCAGCTTCTCCCAGCTACCCCCACCCACCTACCCACCCCTCACCCTTTCTCATTATTTTGTCTTCTCCACTCCTGCCTCTATTTCAAGACCCAGCTTTGTGCATTTTCCTCTGTCTCTGTCTGCCCTACAGATAGGCCTGTCACTTAGGAGGGGCCGTGCAGCCGTGGCTTGAATGACATGTCTGTGCCCCCTCCATGTCCCTTCCTCAGGAGCCAGCCTCCTCCTCCCTGGTATCCCCAGGCCTCTTCCAAGTGGTGGCCACAGTTCTCAGAGCCCAGTTCGTTCCAAACAGAAACGAAGATGGGCTCTCATTGAACAATGACAAACTGAAGTCATTATTCTGCCAAGAACCGAATGAAAAATAGAGAAGCCTGACGTAGCCATGATTTGTTAACGTGACATTTCCTCTCAATGCAATGCACAAATTTTAATTAAAATCTCAGGAGTGATTTTGGAGTCCTTTATTGTGTGCCTCTAGGCTCTTCCAGGCTGCCCTGGGGGAAGGGCAGGGCCTCTTCATAACAGGGATAAAGGCTCAGATAATTGTCCCTAAAGGATTGGGAGGTGGGGGGAGCAGGGACAGCTCAGGCTAGCACTGCCTGTGGGGCCAGGAGTCTTAGAGTGCACATGGTCACTCCCAGCCTCCCCCCACTGCTCTACCCATTTTACAGGTGAGGAAACCAAGACCAGGGAAGGTTTGCCAAGGACCCATCCACAGCAAGGGTGTGTGTTTGTGGGGGGTGGGAGTGTGTTCTAGGTGGTTGGAAGGTGAGATTCAGCCCAGGACAAGTTGTGGAAACTGGGAGGGAATGAGCATTCAACCAGCCTTCTGTGTAACAGGAGCCTCCAGCCCAGGCAGCGCTGGCTGAATTGAGGGCGAGTTGAGGAGAGAGAGGATTGCAAGAGCAGAAATGCAAGCACCCTTCTTTCCTGCAGCCACTCCTGGAGCTGGGAAAAAGGCAGGTTGGGAGGACAGTCTCTGGGCCCCGAGCCCTGCTCCTCCTGTCTTCTCAGAGAAGAACCTGAGAAAATTCTCAGTCCCTCTAGAAAAGCCCCAGTCCATTGAGGCAGCCTGAGGAGAAGAGAAGGGCTGAGGGACTGGGCCGATGGCTAGGGTGGCACCCTGGCTTCCTCAAGGCCTAATGGTCCTGCAGGGGATCCTGGCCTAGGGTCACTTGCCCTAGTTTGGGGCACAACAGACAGCAGAGGAAACTGGCTGGTGTGGGGTCACTGGGGTGAGGGTTAAGTAAGGAATGAGCAAACAGAGTGGGGTGGACTGCAAGCTGAAGCCCATCTAAAGACCCATAGGCTGGCCTCGGAGGCTGAGCAGCAGGGCCAGTGAGCACCTCCAGATGGGGCCGCCACCTCCCACGGTAAGGCCTGGAGCAGGTCTCATGCCCCATCTGCCCCTGGCCCCACCTGAGAAGTAGTGACTGTTATCACAGGGTCCTGCTCTAGGACCGAGGTGAGGATGGAGGGAGGCCAGATGCATGCAGGAAGTGTTTGGGAGCCATGTCCTTGCACTCCTCTGCCTGGAGGATCAGGAGCCCCTTGGAGTGAGGTGACCATCCCACAGCACGGAGTGCCCACCTCACCCCACCCCTCCCAGCACCCATCAGCCCATCAGCAGGTCCCACTGATGCTGCCCTTGCCCCACCCACCATCCTGGACTCACCCGCAGAGCTGGCAGGGAGCTGACCTGGTCCATGGTGAGCGTTGCCTCCTTGTAGTACTTCCCAGGAGGGCAGAGCTTCAGGAAGGTGTCATGGATGCTGAAAAGAGAGGCATGAAGACCGTGTGGCCGGGGAAAGGAGGCCAGCACTGTGTGGCCGGGGAAAGGAGGCCAGCAAGCCTGTCTCCTGCTGCAAGGGGTGGGGGTGTCTCTTTGAGGAAGGAGACTTGGGGTTGGCTGACACAGAAAAGGCAGTAATCAATAATAATAAAGCGCAGTAATAAATATGTCTTCTAGAAACATCCCTGGACCCTCCAGTGTGCCAGGCACACCATAGAGGATGCAGAGATGAGCCAGGTGAGAGGAAAGTTAGGCGAATATGCCCTGTAGCGAGCAGCACACTCTACGAGGGTTCATCATAGAATGTCAGAACTGAAGGGGCTTATGTCCAGTCCCTCGGTTACGGATGGGGAAGCCAGTAGGACCTTGGGGAAGCCAGGGTCCCCACCTCTGGCCATCTGCCAATTTCCATCCTCAACCCAAGAAAAGAGGTCACTTCGTGGGTCTGAGTGAGCCGGGATTAGAGCCCGGCTGCCTGCAGCCAGCAAACCACCAGCCTTGCTAGGCCACTTGACAGCAAACTTGGTTGCAGCAGATCGTGGACTGACTGGTCTTCCTAATCATCCCTGTCAGCGATGTCTCTTGTCTATAGGATCCCATCCCAGTCAAGAGGATTTTGCTTATAAGCTACAGGCAGAGGGTGAAATGGCCGTGTGACCCCTGAGAGTAAGAGGGCGGGAGGGAGCTCTGCCTCAGGCTAAGAGAGGATGAGCCCTCATTGCCTGTCTCTCTCACCCTATCCTGAACCTGGGTCCCTGTCCACCAGCAAGCTCTTAGGCCTACAGGTCCAGCACCCAAGGCAGCCAGTGGAGGTGAGACAGTGGTGCCCTGGGGCCCAGGAGGCCTGGATCCCAGAACCTGAACTGCTGTGGCAGGGCTGTGTGACCTCGGGCAACTCACTTGACATTTCTGAACTTTAGTTTCATCATCTGGATAAGGGACAAGAATGATATGTCTCTTGGAGGGCTGTGGCGGGGGTTCAGTGTGAAGGAGGCTGAAGGGTATGTGTGTTTATGTATAAATGGTGGATGGCGGGTGGTGGGGTCACCACAGGCTGGTTGAAAACACTGTCTCTAGAGCCGGACAGATCTACATTCAAATCCTGACTCTGCCACTTAATAGTTCTGAGGCGTCGAGCAAGGTTCTGAATCCACCTGAGCCTCAGTCTGCTCCTCTTTGCAGTGGGGTAGTAAATCTCCCCCCACACACTCGTGAGGATTAAATGAGGGGAGGTGTATGAAACGTCAGCGCAGTGTTTGGTAGGTAAGAGTGTTTGTGTTACCCGGGGCCTCAGAGGGGACACCCAGCCTGCCCTCTCTCTGTGTTTCTCTCCTATACTCCAGGTGCCCCTGTGCTCCTGGGCTGTGCACAACCCACACCTAGACTGTGAGAGTGGGAGCCCACCACCCTGACCCAGACCTGCTCTCCCCTCTCTTCATGGTCCCCTCCATGCTCCAAAATTACCCCTCCCTCCTTTAGTCCTTTCCTGTTCCTCTCCTGTCTTCCATCAAACCTCTACTCTCCTGAGAGGCCAGCAATCCCATGAAAGGAGTCTGTATGCAGGAGTGAGTGACTAACAGTCCCCTATTGACATTCCAGGGTATGTGGTTTGTTGACTCAAATGAGGCTCTGATTGGTGGAATTTAGGGACATGTAACTAAGTGAAGACCGGGTGCGGCGGCTCATACCAGTAATCCCAGCCCTTCAGGAGGCTGAGGCGGGAGAATCGCTTGAGCCCAAGAGTTTGAGACCACCCTAGGCAATACAGGGAGACCCCATTTCTACAAAAAAATTGAAAATTAGCCAGGCATACTGGCACGCACCTATAGTCTAGCTATTCAGGAGGCTGAAGTGGGAGGATCACTGGATCCCAGGAGGTTGAGGCTGCAGCGAGCTGTGATCGCACTACTGCACTCCAGCCTGGGCGACAGAGCAAGACCCCGTCTCAATAAACAACAAAAACTAGGTGAAGAATTTGGAGGGTGATTTTAGGAGTGGAGACTCAGAGGTAGAGCAGGAAGCAGGAGGCTCTCCCAGAGCCCTGACGATGGTAGGTGGAGGCCTCGCACCCTGCCAGCCACTCACTGTTTCACATCTCACTGACTAGAAAAACATCCTTCAGCTCCCAGCCCTGGGAGAGTGGAAAGAAACTATGCTGGGATTCTGTGTGCCCACTGCACTCTGTGCCCTGGGAGGCTGATCTCTACTGACAGTGTTCCCACCTCCCTTTCCCTCTGGCTTAAGGGAAGCTCCAGGAGGACTGGAGGTATGAGGGATGGGTGGGGATTTATCCTCCTCTCCCTCCCAGCCCCACACGACTCTGCAGTGTCTGTGTTCCCGCTGTCTCAGGCTAGCAGCCAGCTTCTGCAGCTCCAGCTCTCAGCTATCACCTCAGGCCTGGGGCAGTCAGGGCTGGCCCCTGGGTG
Source organism: Homo sapiens (assembly GCF_000001405.40). Classification (NCBI taxonomy): domain Eukaryota; kingdom Metazoa; phylum Chordata; class Mammalia; order Primates; family Hominidae; genus Homo; species Homo sapiens. Next base: position 26,631,953 of record NC_000002.12, read on the forward strand.
CTTCCCTGGGCCTCCTTCTGAACAGTTCCTTCACTGCAAAGCACCTTCAAAGATCCTGCTGAGTGTGCCACCTGCTTCCCGCCGGGTTGCTCACAGACCTATCTGGATCTATCTGGATCCTATTTCTCTACCTCTAGCTACGAGACCCAAGGCAAACTGCCGGACCTCTCTGAGCACGCAGGCCCAGGTTCATATCCTGACTCTGTCTGATGGAGAGCCAGCCTCCTTCCAGTGGCATTGTGCAGATCCAGGCTAGGGCCTGACAGATGGGAGCTGGAGTGGCGTGTGGTGTTCATGGAGAGCACCATGACTGCCGCCTTGGCCACGGAAGGGGCCTGAGCTGTCACTAGGGTCTAGAGACTGCACACGTTTGGGAGGGAGCAGAAAGCAGAGTGTGGAACGGGTTGGGGGAGAGATTCTCCAGGAAAGTACTGGGGTGGATGCTGGGAACCACAGGTCAACAAGCAGGAAGAAAAGCCATCACTGCTGAAGTGTCCAGTGGCCTACAAGGGGCGAGGGGTAGGCCGGGTGCAGTGGCTCCTGCCTGTAATCCCAGCACTATGGGAGGCTGAGGCAGGCGGATCACTGGAGGTCAGGAGTTCGAGAGCAGCCTGGCCAACATGGTGAAACACCAACTCTACCAAAAATATAAAAAATTAGCCCAGCATGGTGGCGCGCATCCATAATCCTAGCTACTCCAGAGGCTGAGGCAGGAGAATCGCTTGAACTCGGGAGGTAGAGCTTCCAGTGAGCTGAGATTGCGCCATTGCACGCCAGCTTGGGCGACAGAGTGAGACTCCATCTCAAAAAAAAAAAAAAAGAAAAAGAAAGAAAGGGTTAAGGGCAGTGGGAGTGGCCGGCTCCAGTCAAAAGGAGCATTTTGTCACTGTCATAGTTAGAATTGCTGGCTTGAGGTGATAAAGAACAGACCCACTTTCAATAAGAGCAATTTTCAACAAAAATTAATGTTTTGGTTTTTTTTTAAATCCCTAAGGCAACGCACAAGTGAGCTCGGGCTCCTGCCCCCACCACGGGCACCACCGGGAGTGCCTGCTCTGTGTAGCCAACTCTCACGGACATTCTGCATGTTTCATGCCAGTCTTGCAAGGAAGGGACCATTGTTTCTTTTACAGATGAGGAAACTGAAAGTCAAGTAGGTAAAATAATCTACCTAAGGTCACACAGTGGTAAATGTTAAAGCCAGAGATACAAACACCAAAGCTCGTTCCCCAGGAGGCATCAGGGGCTGCTGAGGGGCAGAAAAGAAACTCACCAGCCCTTGCCACCCTCTCATGACAAAGCCTCTGTGCCGGGTGCACTCACACACATCATCTCACTGAATTTTCCCAACAACTCTCTGTGGGAGAAGTGGAGGGGCCATCATTTCTACAGATGGGTAAACTGAGGCTCCGAGAGTTTAAGTGTTGTATCTAAGGTTATACAGCTGGGAAGAGACGGAGTGGAGGGCTGAACCCTAAACCAAGTTCTTCGGGCTGTGCTGCCCACCCCTAAAGGGCCCACCCTTCTTCCAGGTGAGAGACTCGAGTCACCCCCCTGGAAAGTCCTCTCGGGGAGGGTGCTGGTGGGGTGCCTGCCTGGAGTTGGTGCCTTCCCAGGCTGCAGAGTGGGCGGGCTGCCCATAGATGAATCGTGGCTGCATCTCGGCTGCCATAAAATGTTCTCCTCCTCCAAATATGGATCAGCTGGCTCTAAATGGAACCCTGAATTAATCACTAATGGACTCAAAAGTCAAAGCCATTTGAAAAACTCACACATTCAGCCTGCCAGCAATCCAGCAGCCTGGGCCATGGCTCCCTTCCACACAGCCCAGAGAGGCAGGAGGGGCTGCCTGCGGGCTCAGGGGCTGGCCCTAAGACGGGTGGAGGTCACTCTGCTGCTGACTGTCCGTGGGACCTTGGACTCGCCAAGTCCCCTCTCGGGCCTCAGTTTCCCTTCTGTGAAATTAGAGTCCCAGCATCCCCCCAGCTCCCTCCAGTTTAGGTATCCTATGACTCTAGTCTTTCGTGCCTCTCTCTGGCATCCCATTTACCCCCTTGCCTCTGAGACCCTCTAGCTTAGTAGTTCTCAACGGGGTCCCACGTAAGAATCATGTAGGGAGTTTGTAAAAGGATCTGCCCTCCCCACCCCTTGAAGTTCTCATTCAAGGCCAGGATAGAGCCCGAGGCACCTACAGGTTCTACAAGCTTCTCAGTATTTCTACTGCCCCAGAGAGATCAAGAACATGACAAACCCGAATTCCCACTCCTCAAGTCCCAGCTTTCTGGCTTCACCCCCACCCCACGGGGTCAATAGTCCTTTGCTCTACAGTACTGCCTGCAGATAGTAGATATTTTCTAAATGGTCCTTCTTTAGCCTGAAAATGTGGCTTTTAGTTCCCTGATCTGCTACTTGCAATCTGTGTGGGCTTGAGGAAATTACTTCATTTCTTTGAGCTGATTTCCTCATTTGCAAAAAGTAGGGATAATAATACCATGATAGTAACAGCAGCCACGTAATCGGTGCTGACCCATGTGCCAGGTATTGCTCTAACAATGACAGATTTGATCTTCTGGTTGTCCTAATAACAACCTTGTGAGATTAGGTTCTATTTCCCTCAACTATTTTATAAGGATGGAAACTGATGCTCAGGGAGGGTAAGACACTCCCCCGTGTTTGCACAGCTACTAAGTGGCAGAGCTGAGCCTCAAACCCAGGTCTTTGGCTTCCAGGAAATAAACCTGTAACCACTCCACCTGCGGCCTTGAGGTGCCCGTTAATGGCCAGGACAGGGCCATGGAGTCTACAAAGTGTTGGAACCTCCAGAGGTTCTAGGAAGAAAGGCCCCATGGCTGGGTCAGCCTGAGCAGAGGCTGGAAGCAAAGCTTCAGGCTCCTAAACCAGACCCCACCCCACCCAAGAGAGTGTCAGGAACCATCCCAGGCAATGCAGAGTAGTCCGAAGAGCTCGGGCTGAGCCAGGCTGACCTGCGCCTGAGACATAGAGGTCTGGGCTGGAGTCAGGCTGTGCCTTGCCCAGGAAGCCACATGGGCCCTCTTTGGGTCTGCAGGGTCTGCACGGTCTGCAGTCACCGCCGGAAGGGCCTGGGCCCAGAAGAGGCATCTCGGGAAAAGGCTTCTTCTGGGACAACCAATTCAAACAGAGTCAGACAATGCTGCCCCGATGCTAGGGCGGAAAGGGACCTTGCTTTTGCTGAGATCAAAAACATGTGAAAGGAAAGTCTCATAGGCTGGAAACTTAGAGTGAACAGACCTCTTCTTGGAGGGCCAAACCAAAGCAGCCCTGGACTGGGAAGGTGCTGGCTCCAAGACAAGTCTAGAACATGAGGTCTCCCCCCACCAGCCCCCAGGAGGTGTCATCTGCAGATCTGGTGACCAGGCCTTTGTGTCCTTATGCAAGTCACAGATTAAAAGGTGGGAAAATATTGGACAGAGCCAGCCTCCCTGCAAAGGTTACTTCTACCTATCGGTCTCTTGAATACTTTTTTAACTGGCTAAGTCCATCCAACTGTACTGCCATCTGGGCCACATTTCTCTATGACACCAATAGGAAAATCACAAGGCATTGTCAGAGGCCACAGTGGAAAATCATTCAAAAGTGACCAGGGCTTCGTCTGGCTCAACTTGGCCTTGGTAGCCCAGGATGGCCACTTTCTCCGTGAGTATCACATGCCTTCTGCTCCCTGAGCCAGAGAAGCTGGGCATCCACATCACAGCTGTCCCCTCACTTTACAGACAGCATGCCCACACCAACCCTAACATATTCCACTCCCCAGGGCCCCACCAAGAAGATAACCTATTATCAGTTTCTGTGTCTGCTTCCAGGGATATTCTCCTCTGTGTATGCATGTATGAACAGCCCTTTATTTCATAAGAGCAGTAGCAGCCTGTATGTACTGGTCTTGTTTGCCAAAGTAATACAGTTAAATAGATTAAAAATGCAAATAGTACTGTGATACTGTGAAGCTTACAATCAAAGTTACAAATACTCCATACCCCACACCACCTCTCTAACCCTGCTCTCCAAAGGCAGCAGTTTGCAAGCATTTTGCTATTTCACTTTGTTTTTGCTTAATATTTACATGGTACTTCCAAATGCTGTGCTAATACTGCCTTTGCTGTTGTTTTCACTATAGATACTATCTTGTGACCTCTTAGTAGAAAAAAAGAGGATTTATTTCTCTATATATACTTCTTTTCCTTTCCCCAACCTCCCAATATAAAACAATTTTCCTGAATGAATATTCAGTGTTTATAATAATATTATATATCGTATATGCATTATTCAAACATTGCTCAAGCTGAGTTCCCTAGTGCAACATGATTACTTCTTTCCTGCAAGTCTTTTTGTTTTTCCCAGAATGAATAATCACTTTCAGTTTTTTGCCTTGGTTTTTGTGTGCCTATCTTTATTTCATCTCCAAACTTTCTGCAGAAATAAGTACCTCTCAATATGGTATCTAGATAGATTCATTTTGTCTCTTAGAGACACCACTCTTGGAACCCCTGACTCCCTAATTCTAATCTGGACTGATTGCTTTCCAGGCCGACTGTCCTGCTGTCATCCTTCAGCTTCCCTTCACTATCTTCCTTGTAATTCGTTTTGCCTCTAGGTTGAAAGCCTTTGTTTCCCCGATCCTGGGTCTTCTTTTTTCTTGGTTTACTCGCTAGTTTTAATGAAGCACATCTCCCAAAAGCTTCCTATGAAAAGGTCCATAAGAGATGATTTTTTTAATTTGCATGACAAAAAGTATTGTTATCCTGCCCTGACTCTTGATTAATGGCTTAGCTAGAACTTATTTCTAGATTGAAATTTTTTCCTTAGAATTTTGAATGTGTTTAGCCACTGTCTTCCAACATAAGTCCAAAGCTATTCTCATTCCTGATTCTCTGTAGTCTGTTTTGCTCTCCGTGGAAGCACTCAGGATCTTCTCATCATCTCTGCCAGTCTGAAATGTCATGATGGCATGACTTAGTGTGTGTAGGCCGTTTTTTATTCTTTCCTCAAATACCTGGTGTCCCTTAGCTTTCGATTTCTACTTACAGGGAGGCTCTAAAATGCTGACCAGAAGCTCACCCTGCTCTTCATCATGCTGGTGGCCCTGAGTCAGGGGCCTGTCTGGCTCCAGCTCTCCCCAGATGGTTAGCTCCTGTCTTCCGCTGGGGCAGGGCAGGGGTGCCAAGTTGATTGTGGATTGCAGAGGGAGAGAGAAGGAATCACATAAGACTTTCAATCTGCCTTTCTGTTTTCACCTGATCCTGCATCCTGGCATTTGGAGGTTCCTGAGCCTTTCTGCGTTCTCGATTCCATCATCCAACCCCTGCAGGCAAAATTCTTTCAACTTTCTATTCAGCTAAGTCTGCGTCATGGGTCTATCTGCTTTGCACTTGTAAAATTTTTGTTGACCTCTCTCATCTGCTGTCATTGCTTGTGTTCTCTTTGTCCTTATGGGTTTCTTTCTTCTTCTTTTTGTTTTTTTTAATTCCTTTACTCTCCTTTTAGTAAACAGAGGTCAAAGAAAATGCTCTATTCTCCACGTAACTGGAAGCCCCCTGAACTTTGCTTTCTTAACTTAATAATATACCTTGGAGATGGCTCTATATCAAACAGAAAGCTCTTCCCCTCCTCTCTAAGGGCAGTCTTCCACAGAGGGATGAATCAGCACTTACTTCACCTGTGTCCTCTTCATGCAAGTGGAATGGCTGGGTCAAGGTGTACTTCTCATTTTGAACTGGGACATTTCAGCATCTCCTGCCTTCGCTGGTCCTCTTCCACTCTTCAAAGCTCTTGACAGCTATTCCACATTCTCAGCTGCTTCCCAGGCTGTGGTCTCCTGGGTCTGGAGACTCCCCTTGGTTTAAAGCAGCAGAGGGCTCTCACTGGTATCACCTTCCCATTTGAGAGTTTCTGCACTGCTGTCCCTGGCCCCACTAGTGCTTCTCACTCTGTCTTATCTGAAGGTGTCCAAGTAATAGGAGTTGGATACTTTGCCCTCTACTCTGCCTTCCTTATGCAGTGGCGTCCCCAACCCCACCACCCCCAGCGCTGACGCACGCCGGCCTTTGAGAGTGGGAGCCTCCTGAGCAGGAGCTACCCAGGGGCAGGCACAGGCCCTTCATGCTCAGGAATGGGTCTCTCAAGAGAAGGGGCAGGACAGAAAGAGCTTTAAGAACTGCTTGTTAGAGAAGTTTGCACTGAACCATGAACCGTGAACTGTGAACTGGAGCCTTCCCTGGCAGCACTCACAGGGACCCACCTCCCCAACACAACGCGGAGCCAAACTGTGCTCTTCTCCGGGGAAAGGCACCTTCCACAGGGATGGAAACAGACTGGAAACAGGATCTGGGAGGAGGTCGTCTCAGGTCCTGGGTGGGAGGTTCAGAAGGGAGGCGTCCATAAGCATGGCTCGCTTCCAAGGAACTCTTTCTCCGAAGGCCAAGGCAGAACAAATGAAAATGGAGGATCGATGTTCGAGAGAGAGCCTGAACCCTTCCCATACTCCTCTCACTCCTCTCGTCCACCACCCCATGCTCTCTCCTGGCATATAGGAGGAACCCCAGGGGTGGATCCATGAATGCCATTTGAAGCCCCTGGGTTAGAAAGAGGGGCAGGCATGGCCATGCCCCCTTGCTGAGAGTACAAACTGGTGCAACTCCTTTGAAGGACAACATTGTCTCACCCATCGAAGTTCTAAAATGTAGGCCGGGTGCAGTGGCTCACCCCTGTAATCCCAGCACTTTGGGATGCCAAGGTGGGAGGATCACTGGAGGTCAGGAGTTTGAGAACAGCCTGGCCAACATGGTGAAACCCTATCTCTACAGAAATACAAAAATTTGCCGGGCGTGGTGGCAGGCACCTGTAGTCCCAGCTACTCAGGAGGCTGAGGCAAGAGAATTATTTAAACCAGGGAGGCACAGGTTGCAGTGAGCCAAGATTGCACCACTGCACTCTAGCCTGGGAGACAGAGCAAGACTCTGTCTCAAAAAAAACCCCAAAAGCTTAAAAAAAAAAAAGGTACAGAACAGTATGAAGGGATAAATGCAACCATGTGAATGGGGTAAAAGGAGGATAAATGTGTTGGCTTATGTATGGAAAATTCTTCCAGAAGGCTAGATGGTAAGACAAACCAACAGTGAGCAGAGGCGGCCTTGAGGGAAAAGGACTGGGAGGAGAGAATGGAGACATTTTCTTTTCACTTAGAACTTTTACACTATTTGAATTTTCTTTTTTTTTTTTTAAATTATATTTTAAGTTCTGGGATACATGTGCAGAACATGCAGGTTTGTTACATAGGTATACACATGTCATGGTGGTTTGCTGCACCCATCAACCTGTCATCTACATTAGATATTTCTCTTCATGCTATCCCTCCCCTAGACCCCCACCCCCCAACAGGCCCCAGTGTGTGATGTTCCCCTCCCTGTGTCCATGTGTTCTCATTGTTCAACTCCCACTTATGACTGAGAACCATTATTTGAATTTTGAATTTTCTAGCCAGGTAGCATTTTTTTTTAGATTTCATTTTATTTTTATTCATGTGATACTTTTCAGAAAATTTCAATAGAGGTTATATGGGTAGTAGGATATGGGTCATTTGGAGTTATGTCATATTTTTCTATATTTAAAAAAGTGAGTGAATATTATTTTCAAAAGGGAAACAATGTCACTGGGTGACAGCCCCTGGTTAGCTCCCCGTGCCCTGGCCATCCCCCATCCTCATTTGTGCCTGGAGAGTCTTGCACTTGTGACAAAGTTGTTACCTGCCACCACCAGACCCTGAGTGGGAAATGTGGCTTCCGTGTGGTGACTGGGGAGGGTTAGTCCAAGCAAAGATGATGAGAGGGAACCTTCCCCCACCTTCCCCTGAAAGTGTCTTGGTGAGCTCCTTTATTCATCTAACAGGTTTTGTTGGGCACCTGGCTTGGCCCAAACACACAAACACACACACACCTCTCACACTATTCACTCTCCCCCACAGCCCCACGAGAAGGGTATTTGGCCACCTCCACGTTGAATGAAGTTTCTTCCCCACTGGACAGCGGTCCGCATGACAACAGGGAGCGGGGCTGCTCACCACCCCACCCTCAGGGCCTCCACGAGGCCAGCACATCACAGGCACCGGAGAAAGGGCAGGGAGGGAGGGAGGGAGGGAGGGAGGTGGAGAGGGAAGTCTGGGCTTCAGTCATGCATCCAAGTTTACCCAGCCAGTGGACAGCCAAAATGGGCTTCAGACATAAGTTCCCCAAGTCCTTTCCTTGTTCTCCTCATTATTCCAAAGAGGTTCTGTCCAGCTCCATGATCCTCTGAAGAAACCTCACTTTGGATCCCAGTAAAAGGTTAGCAGCCTAAAGCCTGGTGTCTCATTCAGCTCCAGTGGGGCTCTGCGGATCGTGGCCCCTGGGCCCTCCCATCCCTGCCTGCCGTGTCCCAGCCCCATCTCCAGGGCTGTGTGGCTCTGAGCAGGGACCACACTCAGGGACCAGCGTGAGGCTGTATTAGGGCAAGAATCCAGCTCAGAGGGAGGAGCTGGGAGAAGGAAAGAGGGGCGGGGCTTCTACTCACCACAGAATTTCATTTCTGGTCAGGAAGGTCAGGGCCTGCAACAAATCACAGAGAAGCGACGTGTCCACTCCATTCATCCCTGCTGTGGCCCCTGGGGAGTGGCGCAATTCAGAGGCTGGGGAGGAAATGCCCATTCTTTTGCTGCACAGCTGGGGGAACCCCAGGTTGAGGTGGATGCCTGAGGTGGCAGCAGGAGAGGAAATGGTGCTCTTTCTTACCCCCTAGTCTCTTACAGCCCTGGGAAGGAGGGCATTGGCACAGATGTGGAGAGCAGATCAGAGACAAGAGTGAAACTCTGGGCTCTGGTGCAGGAGACAGATGGAGGAAGGTAACCTTAGAGATCTCATCTGGGCCACATGGATGCAGATTTAGCAAAGAGAGGGACCACCGCTACCCCGCCTGGTAAACTCTAGAGCAAGCTTGTCCAACCCACGGCCTGCAGGCCACATGCAGCCCAGGACAGCTTTGAATGGGGTCCCAACACATATTTGTAAACTTTCTTAAAACATTATCAGATTTTTTCGTGATTTTTTTTTATTAGCTCATCAGCAAGCATTAGTGTTAGTGTATTTTATGTGTGGCCCAAGACAATTCTTCTTCCAATGTGGCCCAGGGAAGCCAAAAATTGGACACCCCTGCTAGAGCGTCAGGAAGGAATTTTCCCATTCATTCCACCTGCTTTAGGAAGCTCCCACCTCTGCCCAGAGTCCCTAGCCCGATCTACCCACCTGGTACTCTTCCAGGTCCTCCCAGTGCATCTGATACCTCAAGCATTGCCCCATGCCAACCACACCTTTCTGTCTGCCAGCAGTAGAACCTCAGCCTCAAGGACTCGCCAGCTGAGGCACCTCGTTGATCCAGTTGCCATGGTGACCTACATTCCACCTTCTGCCCATTCCACCTGAGTTACTGAGTTGGCAAAGAAACAAATTCTTTTCATTCCCATTCCACCTGAGTTGCTGAGTTAGCAAAGAAGCAAATTATTTTCAATCCCAAAGCTAAGAGGCATCAGTCCCATACAACAAGCAGAAAGGCAGTCCAAAGATGGGGCTGAGAGTCACACTGTCAGCTCAGGAGTCACAGTGCCTGGGCTCCAATCCCAGATCCACCCCATTGTAACCTGGGACAAGCTCTTCAATATCTGTGTGTCTTAGTTTCCTCATCTGTAAGTGGGGATGATAATCATGGGATTGTTGTGAGGATTGACGAATACAGGGAATAATGTCAGGCACATAGTAAGTGCTCAATAAATGCTAGCTATTTGAACCACAACCTAGCTGGGCATGGTGGCTCACGCCTCTAATCCCAATACTTTGGGAGGCCAAGTCTGGTGGATCACTTGAGGTGAGGCGTTTGCTACCAGCCTGGCCAACATGCAGAAACCCTGTCTCTACCAAAAAATACAAAAATTAGCTGGCATGGTGGCATGACCTGTAGTCCCAGTGACTCCAGAGGCTACGATGGGAGAATCGCTTGAACCTGGGAGGTAGAGGTTGCAGAGAGCCAAGATCGCACCACTGCACTCCAGCCTAGGACCCTGTCTCAAAAAAACAAAAAAACCCTACAACCTGCTGGGTGCAGAGGTGCACACCAGCACACCTGTAGTCCCAGCTACTCAGGAGGCTGAGGCAGGAGGATCGTTTGAGCCCAGGAGTTCATGGCTGCAGTGAGCGATGATCATACCACTGCACTTCAGCCTGGGTGACAGAGCAAGACCTTGTCTCTAACAAATCAAAATAAAAAATAAACAAGGAACCACAACCCCAGGACTATGCCAGGCATGGGGATGCCGAAATATATCAGCATAGATCCAACCTCAGGGAGTGGCCCAAAAAGTACAGAAAAGGGCGTTCCACCCCATCAGTCAGGGTCTCTGCAGGAACAAAGGGCACCATCAAATCAGGATCATGTGAAAAGGGTCTAAAAAAAGGACTCTCCACAAAGATGTGTTCAGGGTGTAGGGAAGTCACATGGATAACTGGATAACACAGACTCCTGAGCCCAACAACAAAGAGCTGCTACCCGACCCAGCACCACCCACCTGGAAGCACCACCCCAGCCCCACTCTCTCCTCTTTCTGTGATCTCCTACAGGGAAGAGAACAGGGCGGAGCAGGATGGGCAGACAGAGACAACGTCCAGCACAGGCATCAACATCACAGGCCAGGAGGGCCTTCCAGAAGCCATCACTCCCTCCCCTGCCTCCAGGAGGGTCTGCACACCCACCTTTGTCATGAAAGGCTGGTCTCCTTGTTCTAGAACACATCTTCCCTATGCTCTCCTGAGTAAACATCCCAGTGATTCTCTGATGACGCTTATTTATATCTCTGAAGTGCAACTGCCTGCTTTTTCTTTGACTGTCCTCCATGGGGATAGAGCCTGGCAGAAGGAAACCCGGGGCCCTCATTCCTTCATCTGCTCACCAGACACAGGTAGAATATCCACAGTGTGCCAGGGACTTGGCTTGACCCTGGGAGAGAGAGGACTGAACATGACTTCAACCCTCAAGGAACGTATGCTCTTCATGCTCTTTTAAGGGAGTAAGAAAAAAAAAAAAAAAAAAGAAATGTGTGCTCACCACACACACACACATACACACACACACATATATACACACACTAAAGCAGATGGAGGCAGATGTCACAGACGGGGAAGAGTACAGAGTTACGAGTGTTTAGAAGAGGAAAGGCTTGCTGGGCACCAAGCTTTCATGTAGGTGGTGGCATTTAAGTTGCTGTTATCATGCGGTGGTTAAGAACATGGGCTCTGAAATCTGAAAGGCCTGGCAGCATCTCTTCTTACTGCATCACCTCAAGCAAGTCATAAAATACTGTAAGCCTCAGTTTCCTCATCTGTAAAAGGGGAATGATAAATCCCTACTTCATAAGTATTGCAGGCATAAAATAAAATGATGGGTGTATGTGAAGCTCTTATTTAGCAAGATACCTGCTATGTATTGAGTTCTCAATAAAGGGTAAATTACCAGCCTGGCTAACATGGCGAAATCCCATCTCTACTAAAAATACAAAAATTAGCCAGGTGTGGTGGCGTGTGTCTGTAGTCCCAGCTACTGGGGAGGTTGAGGTATGAGAATCGCTTGAACCCAGGAGGTGGAGGTTGCAGTGAGCCAAGATCGTGCCTCTGTACTCCAGCCTGGGTGACAGAGTGAGACCCTGTTTCAAAACAAACAAAAATAAGGGTAAATTATATTACTACTTTTAAAAGTTGGGCCTGGGCCGGGCATGGTGGCTCATGCCTGTAATCCCAGCACTTTTGGAGGCCGAGGCAGGCAGATCACCTGAGGTCAAGAGTTCGAGACCAGACTGATCAATATGATGAAGCCCCATCTCTACTAAAAATACAAAAATTAGCCGGGCATGATGGCATGCACCTGTAATCCCAGCTACTCAGGAGGCTGAGACAGGAGAATCTCTTGAACCCAGGAGGCAGAGGATGCAGTGAGCCAAGATCTTGCCATTGCACTCCAGCCTGGGCAACAAGAGTGAAATTCCACCTCAAAAAAAAAAAAAAAGAGTTAGGCCTGGAAGGAAGGGTAGGACTTTTGCAGGCTAAGCCAGTGGTCAAACCCCATCTTCTGCTAACCCCTTTGAGCTTCTACCATCGTTGATTAAGCAGCTTCTATCTGCCAGGTGTGTGCATGTAAACTGTCTACATTCAGGCTCAAGCAGCTCATTGAGGGCAGTAGGGTGTCCTTGCTTCTTTGCTCTAGGGAAGGCGGAGGCTGGTGAGGTGAAGTGACGCTCTTGGGTCAGTCAGCTGATAAGTGGACAAGATGTGGGTCTGTGGATTCCCAAAGCATGGGGCAGGAAACTTGGGGAAGCCAGATGATCTGCAGGATCACACCCAGAAAGCCACTTCCTTCTCCAGCCTCAGTGCTCCTCATCACATCGAGGTGCAAGTGGCAGCTTGGCACTGGCTGGTTGTGACTTTGACACCTGGCTGACACTTGCCAAAAAGAAAACAAAAACAAAAGAGAGAGCTGCCCTGGAGCCCAGAGCTTTAAGCTACTGACTCAACCACTATTCATTGAGCGAGGTAGTGCAGACAGAGGTGAATGAGACAGATGATGTCCTGCCCTCACAGATCCAGACGCGCATATGTGCACCCACATCCCTTAGACAGCCATACGTGCTGCGGAAGAAGGAAAGCAGGGAGCGGGGGAGAGAGGGTGTGACGATGGAGGTGCTGGTGGTCATGGAAGCACCGGAGCAGAGACCTGAGTGACGGGGACGAGTGAACCAGGCTAAGAAATCAGGGCCAGTTGCACAGACCCAGATGACCACGGGATCCAGCGAGAATTTAATAACACTGGTTTTCATTATATTTGTTTATATAAAGGTATCTTCCATATTGAAAATGATGCAGGTTTGCCATTTATTACTGTGATCTAAAGTTTCCTCTATAAACATATCTGTTTAATTAAAAGAAATAGGAACCTATTCAAAAATATTAAGTAAATAATTATACAGGTGGTAAAGAAATATGCCAGAAATCATGAATCTCTCTCTCTGTGTCTCTTTTTCTCTCTCTCAGTCTCTCTCTCTCTCTCACTCACACACAGACCCCAAGGTTTGCAAACTCTGCTACCCTTCTCTCTCCTTGATCTTTCATCCCCCTAACTCCCCAACCCCTGCCTTCCCTGCACCCCCGCAGGCTCTGTCATTTCATCACAGAGAGGGTTTTCATTGGTTCCTACAATAACAATACTAACAATAAGAATATCACTTTACATTTGCATATTCCTTTATAATTTCAAAATGCTTTTTTATGTACCATCTCATTTGTCCCAGAAATAAAAGCTAGTGTTCTTTAAAAAAGAGAGAGAAATCCTCCCTCCATATGATTCTGCCTTTGATACACTAACCAACCTGCCTCTCTATCCATCTCCAGCCCATTACATCCCTTAAACTCCTCTTCAGCAGAGATTTTGAAAGGGGTATAATTGAGGAGGGAGGAGGTTCTGGGGAAGGGCAGTTCTACATCCTTCTCCTCCAGGATCCACCTCTGCAGGAACCCTCTGTGTGGAACAGAATGTATTCTTTGCAAGGTTTCTGTCACCTTGCAACTTACAGTTTTACAGACCGGTAAAACTACAACCCCGGCTCCGACCCTGATTTAGGTGTCTCTTAGAATTCGAGAAGAGTTGAAAAGAAACTTGCATTCAGAATATATAAAAAATTCTCACAATTCAACAATAAAAGGCCAAATAAGCCAACTTAAAAATGGGCAAAAGATTTGAATAGACATGTAAGAAGATACATAAATGGCCAATGAGCATATAAAAAGAAGCTCAACATCAGTAGCCATCAGGGAGACGCAGATCAAAAGCACAGTGAGATACCTCTTCACACCCACCAGCATGGTCAAAATCAAAAGAACAAGTAATAAGCGCCGGGCGTGGCAGCTTATGTCTGTAATCCCAGTACTTTGGGAGGCTGAGACGGGCGGGTCTCTTGAGCCCAGGAGTTCAAAACCAGCCTGGGCAACATAGTGAAACCCTGTCTCTACAAAAAATACAAAGAGTACCCTGGCATGGTGGCACGCACCTGTAGCTCCAGCTACTCGGGAGGCTGAGGTGGTAGGATCGCTTGAGCCCGGGAGGCAAAGGTTGCAGTGAGCTGAGATTGTGCCACTGCACTCCAGCCTGGGCAACAGAGCAAGACCTTGTCTCAAAACAACAACAGGAAAAAAAAAAAAAAAAACAAGTAATAAGTGCTGATGAAGATACAGAGAAATCGAAACCCTCATACATTGCTGGTGGGAATGTCAGATGGTGCAGCCGCTTTGGGAAAGAATTTGGCAGCTCCTTGCAGCTTTAAGCAGTTGCTGTAGGACCCAGCAACTCCACGCCCAAGTATGTCCTCAAGAGACATGGAAACAATGTCCACACAAAAACTTCACACGAGTCTTCATAGCAGCATTATTCATAATAGCCCCAAAGTGGAAACAGCCCAAATGTCCATCTACTGATTAAATGAAATGCAGTATATCCATACAGTAGGGTATTATTTGGCAATAAAAAGAAATGAAGTACTGATACGCGCTACAATACGAATAAATATTAAAAACATTATGTGAAGCGAAAGAAGTCAGTCACAAAGGACTATGTATGGTGGGATTCTATTTATAGGAAATGTCCAAAATAGACAAATCCATAGAGACAGAAAGTAGATTGGTAGCTGCTGGGAGCTGGGGGGTGAGGGGACTCAGGGGTGACTGCTTATGGGCATGGAGTTTCTTTCTAGGGAGGTGAAAATATTCTGATCTTAGATGACGGTGATGGTTGTACAGCTGTGAATATACTAAAAACCATTGTGTTGCATGATTTTAAAAAGTGAATTGTATGATATGTCAATTATATCTTAATAAAGCTATTTTTTACATGTCAAGGGGTTAAGTCCTAACTCAGTGCCTCACCATAAGTATAATTAAAGGAATGTGTACATGGGAGGATATATTTGAAACTATTTCAAATCTATTTCCTCAGCCTGAGTCTTGCAGCCCAGGGGGCTCCTCCACTGCAGTAGTCCCATGCTGGGGACAAAGGTGGATCCTGTTGAGGCAAGTCGCTCCCCGGCTCCCAACATCAGTTAGACTTTTGTTTGAGTTTCCAGCAAACAAGCAGGCTGAAAAGCTATGCTCTGTCTGGAGGGAAGATTTTCTAAATTCCTTTTGTGTGGCAAGAAGCAGGCCTCGGGGAGCAGATCCTGATTTCTATGGGGGCCTCCTGAGTAGACAGGAAGAAAAAGGATGGCAGGGCTGCCCTGCTGGTCTTGGGGAGAGAGGAGCTGAAGAAGGCAGTGAGGAAGTGAGACTGCCCTGCACTAGCTATCCAGGGATGGGGTGGATGGGGCGGGGCTGCTTAGGAACATCCCTGAGCTCCCTGGGCAGGGGTCTTGGGAGCCTGCACATCTCTAGAAGCCTGCCTCATGCTCTTATCCACTTCCAGCTGGATGCAGGGTGCAGGGTGCAGGGTGCAGGGCAGGAGTGCCCGAGGCAGAGCGCCTGGCTTCCCTGGCCTGATGGCACCAAGCAGGGACCCAGAAGCTCCCACATGCCCCAGGGAGGGGGTGCAGAGGGCCTGAGAGTGCAGTGGCCTGTCAAAGTCCTGGCCAGGATGGAGAGCCCACCAGGTACATTTCCTAGGGTCAAACGGGATGCCATGGACTCCCACAGCAGTGTGGAGAAGGTGGCAACAATATCTTGAAATTTAAATCTTCGTGTTCTTTCCCCCATCTTCTCATGAGAGACATTTTTTTTTCTTCAGTCTCCCATTCACATTGCCTGGGGGAAAAGCAGAATTGTTAGAGTGTGAGGGAAAAAGCTAGAAGCAGCCTATGCTCCTTTTTTACTAACAAATCAGATATTTAAGAATCGGGGGGAAGGTGAGGGAAGCAGAGTCTAAAGTTAATAAAAGGACAGATGAGGAAGACAGGGAGGAAGCACCATGTCACCAGGGAGCCTGAGTGAGGGTCTCCAGACGGTACCAAGAGCATCACCATTGCCAACCCTGGGAGAACTACTCACTGCCCAGGGGAGGAGGGGGAGGAGCCACATGGACCAGCACTGCCTCATTGTGGGGCAGGGCACCCATCACAGCATCCAGTCCTCAGGGACTGCCCAGCAGAGTGACAGTTGCTTGTATCCCAAGGCTTTGCTGAGCCCCATCTGAATTGCCCCGGTAGAGAGGCATCCTCCATTTCCAATGACACAAGACACCAAAAAGCTCCCCAGAAAAGCGGGTGAGGGGCCTTGACATTCAGAGAGCAGAGGGTTGATGGGGGTGTGGGAGGAAATCCCAGCACTGGTTCTTGGGCAGGGTTGGACAGCAGTCATCCTGCCCTTTTGCAATTTGCATTAGATGCCCTGATGCTCCAGGCGACACCTGATTTCAGGTGCTGCTACATGGACAGGTTCCTGTGAACCTAGTTCTTCCCTCACTGATCCGGTGTTGCCTCAAGGCCTTGTAAGGCCTCATTTTCTGCCTCAGAACCTTCTGTATCAAGTAGACCCCTCAGGCTATAGTTACACACCACCCCGCAGTTCAGAGCAACACTGACCTTCAACCAGTGGGGCTGGGAGCTGGTAGAGAAGCTCCCTCACCTGTACTTCTGGGTGACAGCTCTGGAGGGGTTCTGTGGCTTCTCAGCACGTTCTGGTGGAGTCAAGGCCTTTAGACACCTGGAGGTGACCTAGACACACCTGGACGCCCACCTGGGCTTCTCCTCTTTCCCACCTCTCTCTCCCCAGCCCCTTATTCCTGCTCTGGTGTCAGCTCTCAAAAGCCCTGGTTTCAGGCTGGGCGCAGTGACTCACGCCTGTAATCCCAGCATTTTGGGAGGCCCAGGCATGCAGAACACCCGAGGTCAAGAGTTCTAGACCAGCCTGGCCAACATGGTGAAACCTCGTCTCTTCTAAAAATACAAAAATTAGTCAGGCATGGTGGTGCATGCCTGTAATCTCAGCTACTTGGGAGGCTGAGACACGAGAACCACTTAAACCTGGGAGGCGGAAGTTGCAGTGAGCCGAGATAGTACCATTGCACTCCAACGTGGGTGACAAGAGCAAAACTCCATCTCAAAAAATAAAAATTAAAAAAAGCCCTGGTTTCAGGTTCTGCTTTGGTGTGACACAAAGTCACACGAAGGCTAAGTCACCCCGGTACTGTTAAGAGCCTCTGGTGACGCTGCCCTGCTACTTATGCTGAAAGTGGGGAGCAGCTATTTGAGAAGGGGACTCCAAAAACTTGCTTTCTGATTTGGGTAGGTCTGAATTTCTAAATCTAAAATGTCACAGACAAACCTTAGAGGTCATCTTGTTGGACCCCTTCGTTTAACAGATGAGAAGACTCAGGCTGGAGAGCCTTACCAACCAGCATGTGGAGCTGACGGCAGAGCTGGCTCAGGAGCCGGCTCCCTGGCTCCTTATTCCCCAGGGGCCTCTCAGAGCTGCTTGTTGGAGGTCACAGAGCCGGTTTAATTCGATCCCATCTGTGGAAATGCCTTGTAAACTGTGAAGCATCATAAAAATGCTATTTGTCATGATGTGTGCCAGACCTGGGACTGGAACCCAGATCTGCCGGCTCCCTGGACAGCAGAAGATGGCATTAGATACAATCGCTTATTTTCATAGTCTCACCCTCAGACACTGGCTAACTAAAAGCCCTCTCCCAGCTGCCCTGACTGCCAAGTGCTCCCTACACGGCCTTCTGCTGGGGGCCCGGGGCTTGGGGTATGGCCATCTGCTGTCCTTGTCCATCTTTTATTCATTTATTCAAAAAATTATTTACAAGTCTTTTAAGGTACCCCGGGTAATTTGCTAGTGCTGGGGATAAAGTGGTGACCAAGACAGACACGGTTCCTGGCCTCAGGGAGGTTAGAGTCTAGTAGGGGAGAAAGCGAGGCAGTGATCTCTCAATTAACGAAGAAGACTGTGCTGGGCGCTATAAGCAGAGTGGAGGATGCAGTGATGGTGAGTGATCAGGGGCACCTAACCAATTATGGACGTCCAAGAAGCTCCCCTAAGGAGGGGCCATTTAGCTGGGACCTGCAGAATGAGCAGCAGAGAGGCAGACATGGGGGGAGGGTGTTTCCTGGCAGGAGAAGGGCACGTGTGAAGGCCTGGGCAAAGGAGCTCCTGGTGCTGGCAGGACAGAGAAGGCCCAGTGGATGCAGTGTGTTCAAGGTCAAGAGTCAGGAGAGACTGGGAGGGGGCTTGGGGCAGCCCAGGCAGACCAGTGGCTCCTTGAAAGTATATCTTCAAAGCTTTCTGTTAAAAGCAGTGGGAAGTCGTTGGAGGATGTTCTGCGGAGAAATGACATCATCCGATTTTTGTGTTCAAGGGATCATTCTGCCCACAGGGTGGCTGGCCAGCATGTTGGAAGGAGGCCAGCATGGCTCTAGGGGACTGTGAGGGGACTACTGAGTAACCTACATGAGGGCACAGTCTTGGGGACAAGGTTGTGGCTTCAAGAAGGGGAGGATGACTTCATGTGACGTTTAAGGTGGAATCGGCAACACGGGGAGATTGGATGTGGGAGGGGAGGGAGCAGGAATTGTCACGGTGACCCTGGGGTTTCTGACGTAAGCAGCAGGATGAAGGGAGGAGATGCAGATCTGGGTAGAAGAACAAGATTTTGGACGTG
This sequence comes from Homo sapiens, assembly GCF_000001405.40. Classification (NCBI taxonomy): domain Eukaryota; kingdom Metazoa; phylum Chordata; class Mammalia; order Primates; family Hominidae; genus Homo; species Homo sapiens. The sequence goes on from NC_000002.12 coordinate 26,650,697, forward strand.
TTGAGTTTGAGATATCTGTGTGGCAGCTGCATGGAGACGACAAGGAAGCACTTAGATACGTGGGGCTAGGGGCTCAGAACAGAGCTCTGGGCTGCAGACAGGCATTCAGGAATGTTTAAAGCCATGATTGAGATCAGCCAGAGAGCTCAGCAGTGGCAGAGACATGGTTCCTGCCCTCACGGAGCTTACATTCTAACGGATGGATAGAAGACTTCACTTTCTGCAATGTCAGAGTAGCTCCTTAGAGGCCAGTCCTCCCACCAGGAATGAGCTGGATAAAGTCCAAAAGCTGTCTGTTGAGGGCAGCCAGGCTGGAGAGGGCAGGGTCCCCGGGGGAAGGGAAGCCTGTGGGTAGCCTCAGAGCCACTCTTCCCCTTGAGGCATCTGCTGATTCATGAGCAGCATGGGGGCCAAGAGGCTAAAGCCAAGCAGAAAGTGTGGATAAGAAGCTGAGAACTTGAGTAGGAGACTTTGGCAATTTCGAAGGGCTGGGAGATAAATTTGGAGTTCAAACTACAAGACAAGCAGACCTGGGGGCCAAGATGTCTGGGGAAGAGAAGCACGTGGAGGTTAGCTTCTAAGGCCCCTTTCTCTGGAAGGCATTCACGGATCCGTAAGCAGCACCCAGCCAAGGAGTGAAGCATGGCTAAGAGACCGGGAAGCTGAGCAGAGTTTTTGGCAGTCTCGTGGGGCTTGGAAGACAGACTTGGAGTTGAAGGCCCACCAAAGAGGAAGAGCCCTAAAGAACAAGCCAGACTTCCAGCGAGAACCTCAGATGGGTTACACACCAGGAGGCAGGGTGAGCTGGAAATAGAGCGGCCTTCAAAAAGCCTGACAGCTTCAAACCAGCTCAACCGCAGCCTGGATTACGAATGACCTTCCCTTCTCTAACTGCCTTCCGGAAAATGAAGTAAATCCTCCATGATGAAGGACAGCATCAGTCGGAGCCAAAAAGTATCTCCGTCACAGAAACAGCCCTGCAGGTGACCCAGATACTGGAGCTCCCTGACACAGACTTCAAAATAAGTGTGATTAACATAGTTAAGAAAACAGATGACAAGACGGAGAATTTCACCGGAGAACTGGAATCTATGCAAAAGTATCAAATGGAAATTATGGTGGAATGGGTAGAATTTGGAAATTGATAGTCTTAAAGAAGGGCTAACATTTTTCCATACAGCTGGGAGGAAAGACATCCCAGGGGGAAGTAGGTGTACCAGGAAGCCCCACGGTGGCAGCCTGAAACAGGGTGGATTGTGTGGCGGGGCGAGGCGGTGGGGGAGAGGGACAGGGGCAACAGTGTTCCGTGGAGGAAAATTCAAAAAAAGGACAGTTGGAACCACATTATGCTGGAACTTGAATGTTGGATGATGAAATTAGAATTCTGTTCTGCAGACGGAATGAACAGTAGTTACGTTTGTCTGTGTCTCTGCTTTTGGTTTGTCTCTGGGTCAATTTACAAAAAGTAAAAAGTGATACAGTTTAAGTTCTTTTTTTAATTACTCTTTTTTTTTTCAAACATTAGGAGATACAATAGCTGTATCAGTACTTAAAGCACTTTGATCTGCTTCTCCATCCCTCAAAAGTTTCATCTTTTTGGCTATTTGTTTTTTCTAAAAACTATGTGATGAGCCTATATTACAGTTTCGGACTGTAAGATTCAACTTTTAAACAAATTTTGTTATTGAGCAAGACCTTTTCAGCTGGTTTGTTTTGTCCTTCCTTTACTGACCTTGTAAACTACTTAATTGCGAAATGTGGTTTGTCTCAGAGTGCCTCTTAACATTGTATTCTTTAAAACAGGAGATTTTTCCATTGCATGGGAGACCAACAGCAACATCTTCCACACACCAAGCAGGGTTTGTCTTTCCACTTACTTAGAGACATATGGTTTTCATCAGTCACTTCTCTCTTCTTGGCAGCCACCACGGCAAGGATTTAAATTTTATTTAGCAAATGGCCCACCCCTCTCACACCAAGCCCCTATTTGCTCTTCTCCCTCTTCCTCTGTCTCGCAGGATCCCGCCTCTATTCCCATTCCCAGAGAACATCAATCTGCCTGCCAGGCAAACTCAATCAACTGAGTTGCCTCCATCAGCCACCCCTGGCCAGCAGAGCCGGAAGCAGGAAATCAGCCCAAAGGCCTCTGGGAGTTGCAGCGGACCGAGCTGAGTCTGAAGCACCTCTAGAAGAGAGGGTTCCTGAATCTCAGCTCGTTGGCCAGCGGGAGCTAGTCTTCACTGCTGCAGGGACAGGGCTGCAGGCAAGGCCAGTTTTGGGCCTGGAGGCTGATGACGTTTGGGATGTTCGCCCCCAGTGCTGATGCAGGGGGGCGGCCAAGCTCCAACCCCTTGCACAGGCAGCCCAACCTCTGCTCCCATCAGTTCCTATCCTTCCTGGAGTCACTGGTAGGAAGACACAAGCCTCCCACCTTAGTCACCTTTTAGGTTAGCAGTGAAGTTTGGGAACCCTAGCCCATCTGACCACCCTTCCTCCTGAGGCTATCTGAGCCGCCTTATATGTAGACAGACAGAGGTACCTGAGTCCTGGTGAAACTGCTGGAAACTAGGTGGTAAGAGACCCCGGTTGTCCAGTATCCTTACCCACCTAATTGACTGCAAAAATGATCATTTCTACCTCCATCCCCACCATTTACCCTCGTCTGGCACCCTGCTCTCCCACTCGGACCAATGCGCCTGCCCCTGCATGGCCCTGATTCTCCTCTGGCCTCTCTTTAGTCCATTCTGCACGAAGGCAGCACGATCTTTAAAAACAAATCAGATCATGTCAGGCCCCCACAAAAACCTCCTTGATGGCTTTCCATGGCACTTACCACAAAATACTGATACCTTGCTATGGCTTACATGCAACTGCCTGTCTCTCCAGCCCCATCCTGAGTGGCTCTCTGCCTCACCCACTGCACCCCAGCCACACCCCAGGGGGCCACCATCCTGGACATCCCAGGCCAGGAGTTGGTGCAGCCTTCATCCCTCCAGCTGAGGCAGCACAGCCTCTGCCCTCGCGGGCCACCTGTCTCCAGGCACCATAGTGAACTCCTACCAGAGGTAAGGTCATCCCCTTCCCAGGACTCCACTGTAGCTCTCTGGGCCTTATCGAATCCAGCCCCTCCTTTTTCAGATGACAGACAGAGGCCCAAGTAGGGAAAAGAGGTTGTCCAGCACTTGGAGTGAGCTGAGAGCAGAACTGGCCTGTGTCTCGCCTCTCAGAGCGGGCTTCTTTTTCTTCTGCAGGCTGCCTGCTCAGAAACCACGGGGCAGCCCAAGGAGCAGGCTGTAGTTTGTGCAACCCTTGAGAGACTGAATTCCAGTCTGACTACTTCCACCCTGGGCCCAGGACACAGTGCAACTCTGGATGAGGCAGGTGAACGTGTCTGGAGTGCTTCTCATGAGCCAGGTGCTCTGCTAGGTGCGGGGGACTTGCCAGGGCTAGGGACCCTGGGTCTGAATCGCACACTGGGAGACCCTCAGCCACACAGAAGCAGGGTGGCATGGGAGACTGACCCCAGACAAGCAGCAGGGCCCTAAGATCTCCCTGGAGGAGGGAAAAGAGGGCCTTCTTATGGCTCAAGGTAGCCTGTGGCTGATACTCCAGCTTGGGAGGCAGAATGGGGACATAAGGGCTTGGGCTATTTTGAGAAGTCTCGTGTACTGGGGAGGTAGGGTGTGGCTAGGGAGGTGCTGACAAGTGCAGGATAGAGCCAGGTGGGGTAAGATTTATCCAACAAAGCAGGTGGGGCTGATGGAAGCATCTCTGGGCTATAGTTAAACTTGAGCAACAGAAAAGAAAAAGCTGCTATTTAAACAACCAGCAAAATTATTCTAGCTTCTTCTGCCTTCTAAGGGGGTGGTATAATTCATATCAAAAGGATGATGCATTTTTTCATGCCTGTAGAGGCTGCTAGGGAAAGGAGTTATGACGGATAATTTGGTAGTGTTAAAGGAAAAAGTAATTTCAAAGCTGGTCTTTAGCGGGTTTCTAAGCAGACAGAGATGGGCCCAGATGCAGTCTGGGGTGGGGGATGGGGGCTGACTACTCCACAGGAGAGAGGAAAAGGATGCTATGGGAGTCTGGCTGTGGTGTGTGTGTGTGTGTGTGAGAGAGAGAGAGAGAGAGAGAGAGAGAGAGAGAGAGAGAGAATGAGTCTGGTGGAGGCTGGGCCTCAAGGAGGCAAAATGGCTCATGGGAGCGGGGAGGTGGGTAGAGGACACAGCCAAAGGAATATCAACCTTAAGGTGTTTTCTGTGCTAAAATGCAATGTAGCTCTCCCAATTACACACAGGAAAAACATGGTTCATATGCCTTATGCTAGAGCTACTTGGAGGAAATCAAGGAAAACAATCTATGTTTTACATTTGTCTTGATACAAGGCAGAAATGATAGCAGCTGAGGGAGGGAGGGAAGGAGGGAGGGAGGGAGGGAGGAAGAAAGGAAGGAAGGAGGGAAGGAAGGAAGGAGGGAAGGAAGGAAGGAGGGAAGGAAGGAAGGAAGGAAGGAAGGAAGGAGGGAAGGAAGGAAGGAGGGAAGGAAGGAAGGAGGGAAGGAAGGAAGGAGGGAAGGAAGGAAGGAGGGAAGGAAGGAAGGAAGGAAGGGGAAGGGAGCGAGGGAGGGGGGAAGGAAGGAGGGAAGGGAGGAAGAGAGGACTGGATTTCAGTAGAAACAGGATATCAGAGTAAAAGGTCCCCAGAGTTATTGCAGGAAACCTTGTGTTTTCCTCTATTGTGGGTTGAGGGCTTGATCTATTTTCTCTTAGATGAAAAGCAAGGTGGCCCTATAAGGCCATAGGGCTTAGAACACCAAAATGGCGGACACTTGGGTTTTAGTTTTGCGCGTAACTTACCAAGTGATCAGCAAGAAGAAGAGCAGAACTTGGGGAGGTTCAGGGCAGTTGCTATGGGGCAGGAGGAGATTCATCATCTAGGAGTCTAAATCCAGGTCTGTTCTGTCAAAGGCAGGTCCTCAGGTCACCTTCACGAAGGTGATTATAGAAACCCTTGTAGGATCCGGCAGGAAATAGGCATGCTCTTCCCTGCTTCCCACACACATGTGTGCACCCACCGCCCACACCCCCTCCACCCTGGCCCCCCGCAAACCACCTCAGCTTAGATAAGGATAGGTCTGACTCTGTGTCTCCCCTGCCCCCTTCCTTTTGCTGTTTCTTAAAGCAAGAAAAGTGGCTTTGAAGCCACTTTTAAATTATGGATCAACTCATTAGCAGCCAGTTAAGATGACTGAGTGGTTTCCTCAGTATTTCAGGGCAGCCCTGGGATCCTTTTGGCTGTAAATGAGGACACATTCCTTTCCCTACCACTTAGAAACAGGTCGCTCAAGGCGCTGACCTCAGAAATCCCCATATTCAAGAAAAGTTGCTTTGTTCTTTTTCTTCTTCTTTTTAAAAACAGAGACGGAGTCTCGCTATATTGCCCAGGCGGGTCTTAAACTCCTGGCCTCAAGTGATCCTCCTGCCTCAGCCTCTAAAAGTGCTGAGATTACAGGTGTGGGCCACCATGCCTGGCTTGCTTTGTTCTTTTTTTTTTTTTTTTTTTTTTTTTTTTTGAGACGGAGTCTCGCTCTGTCGCCCAGGCCGGACTGCGGACTGCAGTGGCGCAATCTCGGCTCACTGCAAGCTCCGCTTCCCGGGTTCACACCATTCTCCTGCCTCAGCCTCCCGAGTAGCTGGGACTACAGGCGCCCGCCACCGCGCCCGGCTAATTTTTTGTATTTTTAGTAGAGACGGGGTTTCACCTTGTTAGCCAGGATGGTCTCGATCTCCTGACCTCATGATCCACCCGCCTCGGCCTCCCAAAGTGCTGGGATTACAGGCGTGAGCCACCGCGCCCGGCCTTGCTTTGTTCTTTATAGAAGTGTAGCTACTTCTTGGGAGGGGCACTTGAGGGATAAAAGAGTATAAATTGGGTACAATGTATACTGCTCAGGTGATGGGTGAACTAAAATCTCAGAAATCACCACTAAAGAATTTATCCTTGTAACCACAAACCAATCGTACCCCAATAACTATTGAAATTAAAATTAAAATTTAAAAAAAAGTGTAGCTACTTCCAATCATGCCTGGCCCTGACCAGAGTGCCCTCAAAAGGCCTCACCAACATCCAGCCCACAGGTATCAAGTTTATATCTCGATTTCTTCAGAGAAGAGTCCATCATGTACTTTACTGCAATACAAGCCTAAGAAAGCAGGGTTCCTCAGGGAACTAATGTGGGCATCTCCATCCAGAGGAGGGTGACCAGGGAGGAGGGGGATCTAGAAACCATCTCAGAAGTAAAATGAATTTGGGATTTTTTTTTTTTTTTTTTTGAGATAGAGTCTCACTCTGTTGCCAGGCTGGAGTGCAGTGGCACAATCTTGGCTCACTGCAACCTCTGCCTCCTGGATTCAAGCGATTCTCCTGCCTCAGCCTCCCGAGTAGCTGGGATTACAGGCACATGCCACTATGACCGGCTAATTTTTGTATTTTTAGTAGAGATGGGGTTTCACCATGTTGGCCAGGATGGTCTCGATCTCTTGACTTCATGATCCGCCTGCCTCAGCCTCCCAAAGTGCTGGGATTATAGGCATGAGCCACCGTGCCCGCCTGAATTTGGGATATTGAGTCTAGGGAAGAGCCAATCGGGAAGAACATGCAATTATTAGTGAGGACTCTCACTCCTAAGTGAGAAAAATCCAACCAAGTAAGTTAAGCAAGAAAAAAATGTATTGGCTTATGTAAAAGGGCAAGTCAAGTAAGCTTCAGGAATGGCTGGATCCAGTAGCTCAACATGTCCTCAGGGTTCTCTAAGTCTCTCTCTCCTTCACCTGATCGTTTCTACTTGGCATTATCTATGGCTGGATCTTGTGCCTCAAACTAAATCCCTGGGGCTCTGTCTCATGCCATCTATCAAACATTTTCTCTCCACATGGCAAGAAGCCTTCTTGGTCACCAGTAGCACTAGATTCTTATCCTATCAGCTTAGAGACCCCACCAGAATGAATTGGTTTCCTCTAGAAGCTCTTTTGGGAAAGTCCTAGGCCCAAACTTGAATCACAGCCCTGTCCCTGAAACAGTACCCATTGCCCGATCAGGCATTCCTGTTGGCCTGGCCTGGGTCATGAGCACACTCCCTGGTTTTGAGAAGACTGCAGTCAGCTCTGCCTTTCACATGAAAAAGGTTCCCCACAGGAAAGAGGGGTTCTGTTACTGCAGCAGGGGTGGAAGAGGTGCTGGGCAGATAAAAACAGCAGACGTCCACTGCAGCTGTCTATAAATTCATGAGAAATCCTGGGGTGTTTCCCTGTAATGCAAGTTTGATCACACCACCATCTTGCTTAATATCCTTCAGGGGCCTACAAGGTAAGTTCAGCTTCCTTCAAATGGCATGCAAAGCTCTCCAGGCTCTGGCCCTGGCACCCTGCTCAGGTTCACCTCCAACCACTCTCTGCCCACCTGCCCCCCGGTCCCTGGCACATCCCACCCAGAGCCAGTCAGGTCTCACTCTGTCCTCCCATGTGCCAGGCTTTCTCCTAATTCTACAGCACACCCAAAGGCAAATTAAGAAAAGTTTCCTGAAATCTGAGGGGGAAAAGAAAAGTACACACCAGAGTGCAACCTATAACTGTTCTTAGAAGTGGCTCTGCTGAGAGCACCTAGCCCAGAGCTAACTTCAAAGCCATGGCCGGGTGCAGTGGCTCACGCCTGTAATCCCAGCACTTTGGGAGGCCGAGGCGGGCAGATCAATTGAGGTCAGGGGTTCGAGACCAGCCTGGGCAACATGGCAAAATCCCGTCTCTACTAAAAATACAAAAATTAGCTGAGTGTGGTGGCGCATGCCTGTAATCCCAGCTACTTGGGAGGCTGAGGCATGAAAATCGCTTGAACCCAGGAGGTGGAGGTTTCAGTGAGCCAAGATCGTGCCACTGCACTACAGCCTGGGCGACAGAATGAGACTCCATCTCAGAAAAAACACAAACCCACAAAGTCCTTCACAGGCCCCCTCCCCACCTCACCCATCAGCTGCCTGGAGCTGGAAGGATAAATCTCCTCCCACCACCAGGCCTATCGCAACTATCCCCTTCCTTGGAGTCCAGGTCTAAGCAACTCTCCCCACCTCCCCAGCCCCAGGAAGTGTTTTTTTACTCTCACTCACATCTAAGATCTGCCTCCCAAACCCTCTTGCCTGCACCAGAATTAGCCTCTTTCTTGCATTACTGATAATAGGGATATCAAAAAAATGATAATAAAATACTGGCTAGGATATTTCCCCAAAGCTAGGATGGGCAGGTTAAAATAGCACCTCAGTGGGACACCAACTCCCAGGTCCAGGATGGACCGAGCAGAGCCCCGTCGGGCTCATTTGCACTTTTTCTCCAGCCTGAGCTGAAGAAGTGAGCCCTTCTCTCCCACATTCTTCTCCACCGCAGCTCCTTATCTTGTGCAAACAACTGATCCCAGAGTAACACACAACATTGCAAGGACACATCAATTTCAGGCATAAGATAGTCACATTCCAAATTAGGAGATGGTGGTGCTCTAAATAAAACAATCCTCAGAGACATAATTCAACAAATTCATTAAATGTATATTACTAAATGGTATTAACATCTCAGACTAAGTAATCCCCTTTAGAGGCCCGTCAGTGCTTTCCCATACTCCCCAAGAATGATAGGTAGACCCTGGCTGTTTTATACTAGCCTAGCTCAAAGGATCAACTCTAGTGGTGCATTCCAAAACAAAAGAACATCTTCCACAAAGCATTCTAGTCTCCACCTGAAAAGGCAGACACAGTTTATGTTCCTAAAATGTCATTTTTTCAATTAAAAAAAAAGAAAAACATCAATTTACTGTAAAGTAACTTTTAATTCCATAACAAAGGACAACAAGGAGAGAGAGAGAAGGTGAAGGTTTGACTTCAAGATTTTGTTGTAGGAGACCTATTAAGACATTCAATCAAAACTAAAATTTAATCCGATATGGAAGTTTCCCAAACCTGTTCCAAACAGTGAAATGTTATATAATTGTAACGTTTTATAACATTTTATATAAAACTTCAGTTTAAAACATAGCTAAGCTCAAAAGCAAGAAAAAGAAAATTTCCAGGTACCAGAAATGAAGCAGAAACCTGTAACCACAGAGGGTCAGAAAGGGCAAACCCCCAAAAGAGTAGGAGAATAGTGAGATAACCCAATAAGAAGGCCTTAATAAGTCAAGGCACTTACAGGATTCCTGTGAAAAATAACACCTATTGAAGATGAGCTCACACACAAAAATTATAAAACAGATAGGAAAGTCCAATGCCAAGATAGATATTCTACTGACTCTGCAAATGGAATAACTAACATCAATGGAACTAGAGACTAAAAAGTGATCTGAAAAGGACCTTAAGTTTGATTAAGAGATGAAAGAGATAAAGGAGATTCCCATATAACAAGAATAGAAAATTATAAAATAAGAACAAGAAAATAATGTCTAGCTATAATAGTGCATTTTTCTCTTTTTCCTTGCAGTTCTATCTCATTTTGCGTCATGTATTTTGAGTCAGCTTTCTTATTAAGTGCATGTACATTTAGGATTGTTATGTCCTGTTGATAAATGGATCCTTTTGTCACTATAAAATAACTTTCTTTTTCCTTGGAAATATTTTTTACTCTGAAATCTGCTTTGTATGATAGTAATATAGCCACTCCAGCTTTCTTTTGATTAATATTTGCAGGACATATCTTTATGCAATTTTTCTCTTTTGACTTATTTATGACAATATTTAAAGTGGATTTCTTGTAAGTGGTATATAGTTGGATCATGATTTAAAAAAAAATACAACCTAACAATCTATGCCTTTTAATTGGGGTGTTTAGATCATTTACATTTAATGTGATTGTTGATATGGTTGAGTTTAAATCTACCATTCTGCTGTTTGTATTCTAGTTATCCCATTTCTTCTTTGTTCTTTATTTCCTCTTTTTGAGTTACTTAATATGTTTCATGATTCCATTTATCTTAGGTTTACTTTATTTCTCAGATATCACATGATATCTATTTATCATAGATCTACCTTATTCTTTTTAACCTCAGTCTAGTATTCCACAGTATGGATATACCATAGCTTATTTACCTATCAATAGAAACTTAAATATTTTTTCAAATTTTTATTGTTATGAGAAATACTGTAATTAATACCTTCATGCATGCCTCTTTGTTTTTTGTTTGTTCGTTTGTTTTGTTTTTTGAGACAAGGTCTCACTCTGTCACCCAGGCTGGGGTGCAGTGGTGTGATCTCAGCTCACTGCAACCTTTGCCTCTCAGGCTCAAGTGATCCTCCCACCTCAGCTGCCCAAGTAGCTGGGATTACAAGTGCATGCCACAATGCCCAGCTAATTTTTGTATTTTCTCTAGAGACAGGATTTTGCCATGTTGACCAGACTGGTCTCAAACTCCTGGCCTCAAGCAATCCACCTGCCTTGGCGTCTTAAAGTGCTGGGATCACAAGCATGAGTCACCATGCCCAGCCATGCCTCTTTGACCCTCTGTAAGTATTTCTGTAAGATCAAATCTCAAAAGTGAAATTTCTGAGTCAAAAGATATGCATATATTCATTTTGATGAAGGCTGTTAAGTTCACTTCCAAAAAAGATGTATCTGTTCTTCTCACTAATAGCATTTTCCTACATCCTTGCCAACCTTAGATAGAATCTTTTCTTTCTTTCTTTCTTCTTTCTTCCTTCTGTCTTTCTTTCTCTCTCTTTCTTTCTCTCTGTCTCTCTCTCTTTCCCTCCCTCTTTCTCTTTCCTTATTCTATTGGAGGAGGGGCTGTCATTACTGTTTAATTTGTGTGCTTCTGGTGATATTAAACATATTTACATATATTTATTCACCATTTGTACTTTTTCTGTAAATTGCCTGTCATTGTGGGCTGAATTATGTCTCCCCAAAATTTGTATGTTCAAGTCCTTACCCCCAGCATTTCATAATATAACTGTATTTGAAGATAGGGCTTTAATTTTTATTTTATTTTCTTATTTTTATTTTTATTATTGAGACAGAGTTTCACTCTTGTTGCCCAGGTTGGAGTGCAATGGTGTGATCTTGACTCACTGCAACCTCCACCTCGGGGGTTCAAATGATTCTTGTGCCTCAGCCTCCAGAGTAGCTGGGATTGCAGGCATGCCACCACCCCCAGCTAATTTTTGTATTTTTAGTAGAGACTGGATTTCACCATGTTGGCCAGGCTAGTCTTGAACTCCTGACCTCGGGTGATCCACCCACCTCGGCCTCCCAAAGTGCTGGGATTGCAGGTGTGAGCCACCATGCCCGGCCAAGACAGGACCTTTAAATATGTAATTAATGTAAAATGAGTCATATGGGTAGGCCCTATTGCAATATGACTGGTGTTCTTAGAAGAAGAGGTTAGGACACAGACTTCAGCACACACTGAGGAAAGACACAGCAAGAAGGCAGCCATTTGCACACCAAAGAGAAAGGGCTCAGAAAAAACCAAACCTGCCAACATCTTGGTCTTGTGCTTGCAGTCTCCAGAGCTGTGAGAAAATAAATTCCTGTTGTTTAAGCCACCTAATCTGTGGGATTTTAGGTTATGGAAGCAAACTAATACACCTGTCCATATACATTGCCCATTTTTCTTCTGGACTCTCTTATTACTTTATAAGAGCTTTTTATATGTTAACAATAACAACCTGCCAAGCGCGGTGGCTCACGCCTTTAATCCCAGCACTTTGGGAGGCTGAGGCGGGCGGATCATGAGGTCAGGAGATCGAGACCATCCTGGCTAATACGGTGAAACCCCATCTCTACTAAAAATACAAAAAAAAAAAAAAATTAACCAGGCGTGGTGGCACATACCTGTAATGCCAGCTACTCGGGAGGCTGAGGCAGGGGAATCACTTGAACCCAGGAGGCAGAGGTTGCCGTGAGCCGAGATCACACCACTGTGCCACTGCACTCCAGCGTGGGTGACAGGGCGAGACTCCATCTCAAAAAAAAAATAAATAAATAAATAAATAAATAAATAACAACCTTTGTCTAGGGTGATTATATAAGTTATCATCCAAAGCAACACACTTTGAGAGTGACAAATCCTAAGCCAGATGGAACACCAAGACAACAAGTATAAACTAGAGGAGTCCTGAGAAAACTAGAATGTGTGGTTACCCTATTGTCTGTTACATTTGCGCTGAACTTTTCTCCAAGTATATTAATTACTTCAAAACATTTTAATAGATGTATTTTTAATACAGTATAAAGTTTACAGAAGCATCGAGTAAAAAATACGGAGTTCTCATATATCCCCTGCACACTCCCCAACCCCATGCATGCACACACTCCTATTATCATCACCTTGCATTAGTGTGGTATTTGTTACCATTAATTAACAAGTATTGATACATTTTTATTAACTAAAGTCTGTAGTTTATGTTAAGGTTCATTCTCTGTGTTGTACAACTTTATGGGTAATGACAAAGACATAACGCCCTATATCCACCATAACAGTATTATACAGAATAGTCTGTCACCTTAAAAATGTTTTGTACTCCATCTATTCATTCCTCTCACTTTCCCCTGTATCTCTAGAGACTACTGATCTTTTTACTGTCTCTATAGTTTGCCCTTTCCAGAGTGTCATATCACTGGAATCAAACACCATGTATCCTTTTCAGACTGGCTTTTTTCACTTAGCGATCCACATTTAAAGTTCTTCTATGTCTTTTCATGGCTTGACAGCTCCTATCTTTTTAATGATGAATAATATTCCATTGCACTGATGTGCCACAGTTTGTTTATCCATTTTTCTATAGAAGAATAATATCTTGGTTGTTTCCAACTACTGGTAATTACAAACAAAGCTGCTACAAACATTCATGTGCAGATTTTTGCATGGACAAAGTTTTTAACTCATTTTGGTAAACACCTAGGAACACAATTGCTGGATTGTACGGTAGGCCTGTTTACCTTTGTAAGAAATTGCTAAACTATCTTTCAAAGTGGCCCTACTGATAAAAAATATTAGTCGGGTGTGGTGGTGCATGCCTGTAGTCCCAGGTACTCAGGAGGCTGAGGCATGAGAATTGCTTGAACCTGTGAGGCAGAGGTTGCAGTGAGCCGAGATCATGCCACTGCACTCCAGCCTGGGTGACAGAGCGAGACTGTTTAAAAAAACACACACACATGAAATGGCTATGCCATTTACATTCTCACTGACAATAAATGAGAGTTCCTGTTGCTCCATGTCCTAACCAGCACTTGGTGTTGTCAGTGTTTTGGGTTTTAGCCATCTTAGGTGTATAGTGGTAGCTCATTGTTTTAATTTGCAAGTCCCTAGTGGTATATGATGTTGGACATATTTTCATATGCTTATTTACCACCTGTGTGTCTTCTTTATTTAGGTGCTTATTCAGAGCTTTTAAAATTGGGTTTTAAGTCCTTTTTGTATTTTGGATTAAAGTATTTTATCAGATATGTGTTTTGCAAACATTTTCTCCCACTCTGTGGCTTGTCTTTCATTCTCTTAACAGTGTTCTTCACAGAGCAGAAATTTTTAATTTTAATGAAGTACAGCTTAGCAATTTTTTCTTTCATGAATCATGTTTTTTGTGTTATATCTAAAACATCCTCACCAAACCCAAGGTCACCTAGATTTTCTCCCATGTTATCTTCTAAAAACCTTGTGGTTTTGAATTTTGCTTAGGTCTATGATCCATTTTATAGTAATTTTTGTGAAGGGTATAAGGTCTGTATCTAGAGTCATTGATTTTGCATCTGTGCCCAATCGTTCCAGCACTATTTGTTGTAAAGACTACCTTTTCTCCATTAAATTACCTTTTCTCCTTTGTCAAAGATGAATTGGCTATATTTGTGTTAGTCTATTTCTAGGCTTTCTATTCTATTCTATTGATCTATGCATCTATTCTTTCACCAGTACCATACTATTTTGATTACCATAGATTTACAGTATCTTAAAGTCAGGTAGTGTCGGTCCTCTGACATTGTCTTCCTTCAGTATTGTGTTGGCTATTCTGGGTCTTTGCCTCTCTATATAAATTTTTAAATCAATTTGTTGAAATCCACAAAATAACTTGCTGGGATTTCTATTGGGATTGTGTTGGATTTATAGGTTAAGTTGGGAAGAACTGACATTTTTTTTTTTTTAATTTTTATTTTTTTTAGTATTTGTTGATCATTCTTGGGTGTTTCTCGGAGAGGGGGATTTGGCAGGGTCATAGCACAATAGCGGAGGGAAGGTCAGCAGATAAACATGTGAACAAGGGTCTCTGGTTTTCCTAGACAGAGGACCCTGCGGCCTTCCGCAGTGTTTGTGTCCCTGGGTACTTGAGATTAAGGAGTAGTGATGACTCTTAACGAGCATGCTGCCTTCAAGCATCTGTTTAACAAAGCACATCTTGCACCGCCCTTAATCCATTTAACCCTGAGTGGACATGCACATGTTTCAGAGAGCACGGGGTTGGGGGGTAAGGTTATAGATTAACAGCATCCCAAGGCAGAAGAATTTTTCTTAGTACAGAACAAAACGGAGTCTCCCATGTCTACTTCTTTCTACACAGACACAGTAACAATCTGATCTCTCTTTCTTTTCCCCACATTTCCCCCTTTTTCTATTCGACAAAACCGCCATCGTCATCATGGCCCGTTCTCAATGAGCTGTTGGGTACACCTCCCAGACGGGGTGGCGGCCGGGCAGAGGGGCTCCTCACTTCCCAGACGGGGCGGCGGGGCAGAGGCGCCCCCCACCTCCCAGACGGGGCAGTGGCCGGGCGGAGGCGCCCCCCACCTCCCTCCCGGACGGGGCAGCTGGCCGGGCGGGGGCTGACCCCCCACCTCTCTCCCTGATGGGGCGGCTGACCGGGCATCTTAATAATATTGAACATGGAATATTTCTCCATTTATTTACCAGAGTTTTCTTTCCTCAGAGTTTTGTAGTTCTTTATACAGATCCTGTATATATTTTGTTAGATTTATGCCTAAGTCAGCCTGTCTTACGTACTTCCCTCTCCTCCCTCCCTTCCTCCCTCTCCTCCTACCTTCCTTCATTCCTTCTCTTTCTTTTTTTCTGTCTTTCTTTCTTTCTGGTTCTAATGTAGATGGCATTGTGCTTTTAATGTCAAATTCCAGTTGTTAATTGCTAGTATATAGGAAAGCAATTGGCTTTTATATATTAACCTTGTATGCTGCCCCTTGCAATTATTTATTAGTTCTGGGAGTTTTTTGTCAATTCTTTGAAATTTTCTACATAGATAATCACGTTATCTGCAAACAAAACTATTTTGTTTCTTTCCAATCTGTAAACCTTTTATTTCCTTTTCTTATCCTATTGCATTAGCTATGTCTTTCAAGACAATGTTAAATAGGACTGGAGAAAAGCAACATTCTGGTCTTGTTCCCAATCTTAGGGGGAAAGCATTTAGTTTCTCACCATTAAGTATGTTAGTACCAATTATTTTCCTAAAATGTGGAAAGCAATAAAAACTAATTTAAAATATTTAAAATATGTCTTTATATTTTCTAGATTTTGTGACTTCTTTTTTTTTTTTTTTGAGATGGAGTCTCGCTCTGTCACCCAGGCTGGAGTGCAGTGGTGTGATCTCGGCTCACTGCAAGCTCCGCCTCCCGGGTTCACGCCATTCTCCTGCCTCAGCCTCCTGAGTAGCTGGGACTACAGGCGCCGGCCACCACGCCCAGCTAATTTTTTGTATTTTTAGTAGAGATGGGGTTTCACCGTGTCAGCCAGGGTGGTCTCGATCTCCTGACCTCATCATCTGCCTGCCTTGGCCTCCCAAACTGCTGGGATTACAGACATGAGCCACCACACCTGGCCTTTTGTGCCTTTCTTAAAAAGGCCTTCCCTACTCCAGGGTTATAGAAGTACATCCCTATATGTTCTTTATTTTCTTTTAATAATTGTATAGGTTTGTTTTTTATCTATGCCTCTTTAATCCATCTGAAAATTATTTGGTATGTGAGGTAGGGATCTGCGGCAGATAGATACTATATGATGGCTGGCTCAAAATTCATATCAGTGCCCTTCTGGTGTTTCCTCCTGTATTGCAGAGATTCCCCTCATGCTAGGATTCCAGATGTAATGAAGAGTCTCCTGGCTAGATGCCTTTGGGATTCATCACAGCTCCAAGCCAATGACTGAGCACAGAGAGGAAACTAGGGCATAGCCAATTCTTCCCACCAAGAGACTTCTTTATGGGCAATCTTTGCGGTGGCCAAGACTTTCCTCAGAGCTGCACCAGAGTCTGAGGCCTTTTCTGGCCAACCTTCTTCCTTCTCTCTTTCCTTTCACAGGTGTCATAACTGTGTCACAGTCAGAAGACTTTCCCTACTACTCCTGCTCTGTCCCTGCTTTACCTTGCATGGGCATTATCACAACACATCTCTTACCCTCTTAAACTCTATCTCGATGTCTGCTTCCTAAGGGACCTAAGCAGATACAACTCACATGAAGCTTCAAGTTATTTGGAGAGAAAGGTAGCACCACCTCCATTTTATTAGCACAGATCCTGGTTAGAGGCAGTGTGGTCTCAGAACAACATCCATGGCAAAAACTTCCTACTATCTGGCAGCTTCCAGATTGTAGCAGACATCAGCTCCATCAGTGACTCAGTTCTGCACTGTGTCTTTGGAAGTTGTTCTGGTAAGCTCAACCTAAAGTCTTTTTCTTCAATGCCTCCTACAATCCTGTCTGCTATATGTACCTTCCATAAATTCCTTTCTGATTAAAATATTTAGAATAAATTCTCTTTGCAGGAAGCAAAGCCATCACCAATATATTATCTAAGTTAATTTTTTCCCAAGTGGGAAATCTATTATTGTCCCCAAACCATTGCTCCCAAACCATTTTTGAATAGCCAGTCCTTTTGTACTGGTTTAAAAATGCCCCTTTAGCATACACTACATTTCCATGTATCTGTTTCTTTACTGTCCCATTGATTGAATTATACCAACATCACTCTGCATTCATCACTTTACAGTAAATATTTGTATGTGGAAGGGCTGTTTCTTCTTCATTGTTCTTGCTGTGTCAAAATTTGTTTGGCTATTCTTGTGCATTTTTTTCTTCTAAGATGACTTTTAGAATTAGCTTGTAAAGTTACATTTTTAGAACTCTTGTTAAGTTTTTATTGGGATTTTACTGAATTTATAGATTAATTTTAGGAGAATTTATGTCTCTACAATATTGGATCATGCCCAAGGCCCATTTGTATTGGGGACTGGCTAGATGGCTTAGGAATAGGCCTGAAGCTTGAAGGCACACAGACTGGTGAGCAGTCAGTTCCAACGCAATCAGATTATTGCCTCAGTACCCAGCGCAGAAGTTCCAGAGAGAGCCCCCAGGATGTCCTGGGAGAGTCCAGAAAGTCTTCACAGACATAGAGGCAGCATTTGAGCTGAGACTTGAAGGATGACTAAGATTTTTCTAGGGAGAACAGTGCAAGTGTGTATCCCAGGAAGAGACAGCATGAGAAAAGGTACCGTGGCATGGGAAGACCTGGAGTGTTTGGGAAACCACAAGTTGTTGTGGATCACTCAGGCATGCAGTGGCAAGGGAGTAGGGTGAGGTGGTGCCAAAACAGTGATTGATTTGGCCAGAAGGGTAGTCATTTGACGGCCAACGTGTGTGCCAGGCACTATCTTAAGCACTAACTTATTGAACATGTACAACATCCCAGTTACAAAGCTACTGTCATGATTCCTATGTTAGAGTGGGACGATATAAAGAGAAATCAGCTGGCCGTGGTAATCCCAGCACTTTGGGAGGCCAAGGCAGGAGGACTGCTTGAGCCCAGGTGCTTGAGACTAGCCTGGGGAACATAGTGAGACCCCTCTACAGTTTTTTTTCTTAATTAGCTGGGTGTGGTGGTGCACACCTGTAGTCCCAGCTACTTGGGAGGCTGAGGTGGCAGAATCACTTGAGCCCAGGAGGTCGAGGCTATGGTGAGCCATGATTGTGCCACTGTAGTCCAGCCTGGGGGACAGAGCAAGACACTGTCTAAAAGAGAGAGAGAAGTTAAGAGACCGTCTCAAAGCCATGTGGCTAGAAAGTAATGGAAGTAAGACTCAAGCCCAGGGATGTGGGCCCCAGGGGCCATCCATCTTCTTATCTCTACACTGTCTGAAGAGCCTCATAGGCTGAACCACAGAGCCCCGGCCCATCAATCCCAGTGCTCTGTTGCCCACAGATGCACAAGGATGAGCCTGTAGAGTCTGACGATACCCTACAAACAAGATTTGCTAAGCCAGGAAAGGAGAGACATGGCAATTCCTCCTGTAAGAGGCTCATTTAAGCAGCAGCCTCAGGAGAGATGATGTCTGGGGAGACACGTGATACTTGAACCAAGGCAGCTGCCAGGGAATAGAGAGGAAAGGCTGGAAAAGAGGCTATCAGTACTCAAACCTCAGACTCAGACTCCAAATCAAATCTGCTTTTCATACCACACTGTCACTCATTCATTCATTCAGCACTTACTAAGCCCTTACTGGGTACCAGGCTGGGTGCTGGCTGCCAGGATACATCCTGCTTCTGCCCTAAGGCTAGACCCAGAGCTTAAAAAGGTGACTGATCAGAGCTATCCCAACCACACCACATGACAAGAAGGCCCAGGATGTGGCCGACTCCCCTGGCTGCCCACAACACCCCACCACAGCCTTCCCTGTCCACGTGGGTCTCGAACTCTCTGTCCCCTCCTAGTATAGAATGCCTGTCTCCTTTCTTCTCTCTTTCCCTTCTTCCCTTCCTCTCTCCCTCCATCCCTCCCTCCCTCCCTTCCTTTTATTCATTCAACAAACATTCACAGATTGCTGGCCTTCTGCCAGACTCCAGCTAGATGCTAGGGAAGCAAAGATGCAAGACAAAGCCTTATCTGAAATGATTACAGGAAAGAGAAACAGAAATAGCCATGGGGAATCTGTCTGGGAACGATAGGGGCGCAAAGGGTCTCAAAGGGTACTGTGGTGGTCAATTCAGAGTTGGTGGGGGCAGGGGAGCATATTTTTGCAAAAGAAGCAGCTTCAGCATCACTGAGGAGGTGTGAAAAAGCCTGGAATGTTCTGGAAACTGCAAACATGGGGTTGGGTTTTAAAGGCTAAGCTTTGGTCTGGAGGCACACAGGTAGAGTTTGGCATTCTGGCTATGCCACATACAACCTGTGTAGCCCATGTGAGTTATTTAACTTCTTTGAAACTATTTCTTCATTTGTAAAGTGGGGATAATAATTTTCATTTCACAGGGTCATTGTGAGAATTAATTGAGAATATTTATCCCACAAAATATCTTTTGGACACCTCCTATACGCCAGACACGGCTCCAGCCTGGGAGTGCACGGTTAAACAAAATAGATCAAGTCCCTGCCCCCATGGGGCTCATATTCTAGTGGAGGGAGACAGATGAAAGTATAGCATCATGTCAAGTAGTGGTAAGTGATTGCAAAACAGTAAAGTGGGTGTCTCAGGTTGGGCTCCCCAGAAGCAGCCCCTGAGATGAGGATTTGCTTAGGAAGTGCTCACAGGGGCCGCTGGTAAGGGACTGGGGAGGAAGGGCAGGGGGAGTGAGGAGGCCCACTAGGCATTCGGCCTGAAGTCGAGCCCCAAGAGGAGGCTTCAGCCTGATCTCACAGGAAACACTGGCATGGTCCCAGCCTTCCACACCCCCACATCCTTAGTCACTGGTTAGAGGGCACCCAGGGATGTAAATTTCCAGGCTGTTCTGGTGCCTGCAGGGAAAGCAGGCTCCAGTAGCCCAAGGATGGGTCTCTAGAGAAGGTGGGAGAAGGGAAGGAAGGAGGAAGGAAGAAAGGAGGGAAGGAGGGAGAGAGGGAGAGAGGAAGGGAGGGAGGGAAGGAAGGAAGGAAGGAAGGAAGGAAGGAAGGAAGGAAGGAAGGAAGGAAGGAAGGAAGGAGCTAGAAGCTTCTTCCTAGAAGCTCAGTAGCCCTTGCTCTTGTCTCTGCTGAGGGTAACGGGGGGCTGCCTGTGCTCATGGGGAGAGGCTGAACTTTTAAATCAGAAGGCGCAGGTTTGAAGCCTGGTTCCCTTGCTTCCTGGCTGTGAGAGCCTTGGATGCACCACTTAGCCACTCCTAACCTGAGGGAGGGAGGGAAGGAGGGAGGAAGGAAGGAAGGAAGGAAGGAAGGAGGGAAGGGAGGAGGGAAGGAAGGAGAGAAGAAGGGAAGGCAGGGGAGGGAGGGAGGGAGAGAGGGAGAGAGGAAGATGAGCAGGGTCATGGGGATTCTGGAGCTGGATTCAGCCCCGGCCCAT
Organism: Homo sapiens; assembly: GCF_000001405.40. NCBI lineage: Eukaryota > Metazoa > Chordata > Mammalia > Primates > Hominidae > Homo > Homo sapiens. The sequence goes on from NC_000002.12 coordinate 26,670,993, forward strand.
GAATCCCAGTGCTCTGTTGCCCACAGAGGCCCATGGATGAGCCTGTAGGAAGATCTAGCTCTTCAGGGTTTGCTGGTTGACAAAATGTCAGTGACTTACATTTACAAATGCTTTGGCATGCCCAAGACAGTTTCATATAACTTGATGAACTGGAAGAGCAGGTAGCGTTATTTTTATACCTTCTCTCCTCAGGGTGGACAAGCGGTGGTTGCCCCAGTAGCCATCCTATCCCCTCCCACTGGGCAGCAGCCATGCCCTGCAAATAGGACAGTCCCACCCCAGTGCACGGGTCTAAAGGCAGTTTGATCCAGTGAGAGAGATGCAGATGGGGAATCCAGAGATCTGGGATCCAAAGTCCAGCTTGGCCATAGCTGGCTGAGTGACCTTGGGCTTGTCCATTCCCCTCTCTGGGCAACAGTTTCCTTGTTGGTCACATGAGGGGCTTGCGTCACTGACAGGTGATCTGTAACATTCTTCCTGGCATTGGGATGCTCTTATTTCTGAGACTCTAAATTGCCTGGCCTGTGAGAGGGCAGCTGAGGGCTGTGGACAGAGTCTAAGGTGAAGAGTACAAAGATCCTGGTTCAGACTTGGGCCCCACTTAGTACCTCTGTGCCCCTCAGAGCTTCATCGTCCTCATCTACAGGATGAAGAAAAGTCATTCTTGCCCAAATTACTTTCCTAAGTGAATAAAGGAATAAAAGATGATAAAGCTGCAGAAAATGTAAAATGTTTACTCTTATTAATCATTTGTGAGCATCTGCTGAATCGGGGCATTGTGGTGAGAACCTTACACACTTTATCTAAGCTCATTACTGAGACCTGGAGGTAAGAACTATCCCCAGGGTTGTGCAGGGAAATGCTTAGCAGCCAGCCCGCCGGGGAGGAAGGTCCCGATTTGTAGTGTTTGCCCATTTCTGTGGTGTCAATGCTTCCACTTTAGCCCTTTCCAAGCTAAGCGGCCTCATGTTACTTAATGCAGAGCTGGGGAGAAATGCATACAATTGACTTTCTGGAGTGGAAGAGTCAGCTCCAGTGCATCACTGACTGTATCCACTTTATTGATAAGAAAGCAGATTGAGAAACATGTCCAAATTCACAGTCAATACTAGCAGAGTCAGGATTGAAACCCAAGCCTGACTGCCTGGAAGCTCAGTGGTCCCTGCTCTTCTCTCTGCTGAGGGTAACGAGGTGTACTGTGCTCATGGAGAGAGGCTGAACTTTTAAATCAGAAGGCGCAAGTTTGAAGCCTGGCTCCCTTGTTTCCTGGCTGTGAGAGCCTTGGATGCACCACTTAGCCACTCCTAACCTGAGGCCTCAGTTTTCTCATCTGTTAAATGGGAGAGAGTGAGTGCCCAGCACACACAGTTTCTCCGTGACTCCAGTGAATGTGGCCGTGCTTTGTAACAGAGAAACTCACTTTGTAAGCAACAGCACCTGGCGCCTCACCAGTGGTGAGGAGCTGCTCACCCAGGGAGCCTGTCTGCTATGAGGACGCTGCTTCCAGCAGGACTTGGGGCCCCCAGCCCACCTCCCTGTGCCCAAGGATCTATAGCCGAAGGCCGGTAGAAACATCTCGGAGCTCCTGTTCCAGCCCCACCATGGAGCTCCCCTCCCTCGGTTCCCAACCCCTAACATTCCAGCACAAGTCCCTCCCTTCTGCCTCTCCCCAGGAGTTAAGCCCAGCAGAAACCAGAATGCTTCTCAGAGCTGCTGGAATCCTGTGCCCCATAAATCAGGATGCTGAGCTGTGAGACCAAAGGAACGCTCTGGAAAAGAAAGTCAATCACCTGATGATTGTTTTTAAATAGCATCTCATGAACTCAGACTTACCCACGGTATCAAACTGCCTTCCACCACCGTCACCCCCAGTAAGGATATTTGGGGCTCAACCCTCCTTGTCTTGATGCTCAAGCAGCATGGGGTGCAAAGGGCCCTGCAGCAGGGCCCAGGGCTCCTGGAAACCATGGCCTGCTCTGTGACATGGCCCAGAGGGAGCTCAGGTACCCTCTTGAAACCTGCACTCACCCGGCCTGGCTGACTTTGACAGAGGGAGATAGAGGTCTTTGGGGAACTTTTGTAAGAGAGAGACATTGTGTTCTCTCTAGAAGCCAAGATTATCCCCAAATCACATGAGTTTACACACACGCGTGCACACGTGCCCTTACACACAAACACATACACACGTGTGCACATGTGCACACACATTCACCTACATGTGCGCACACTCCCATCTATTCATCCTGGAGTGCCCTGGGATTCTGGAGATGCACAGGTGCACGTTGTGATGTTGACTGTGGTTCTCAGAAGAGGCAAGAAAGAGATTTTGGGGTGACCCAAATCCCAGCAGAGCCCCTAGCAATGCACAAGGGGGAAGAGTATGGACTGGAGACTGCAAGAGAACAAGAATCAGGAGAAGGGATTCCTGAGTGAAAGAGGTTTCTGGAGCCACCTCGGGAGGGGCAGCTTACCTGCAGCTGGCTTCTGGGCAGAACCTGGGCAGCAGGCACTTTGCAAAGGGCAGGTTTGACCTGGAACAGAGAGAAACAGACCTAGAATCTGGGAAAGGGACCATTTTTTCTGAGCGACTGGGAGAACTCTGAGAAAGGACTGATCTGGCCTTAGATCAAATGATGGAAGGAAGCACAGGCTGCGATGAGGTCTGGAAACCCCTCCAATGTGCTGGGACAAGCAACCAGCCAGAGTGGGTCGTGTGGGCCAAGGCTCCTCTTTGCCCTGGCTTGTGTGTGATGTCATCCAGAGCTTTCCTTTAAGTATATGCCCAGGGGGTGGTCTATACATAGATGAGCTGGGGATGTCAGGGTCAAGGGACAGGGGGTGGGGGGCAGGGGGCAGAGTTTGGAAGCTGGGGTGGCCCTGAAAAGTTTGTCATGTCCTCTTGGTATTAAGTGGGGTGGTAACAGGCATTAAGAGTGGTTCTCGCTGTGGGAACCTGAGCTAAGAAGAGGTGATTAGTGGGGTAGGGACAGGTAGTCTAGTAGGTCAGGTAGCATCAACTAAGGGACCTCCCAGGTGACATTGCCCTGGTGAATTGACCATTATCCCAGACAGGGCCAATCAAGCTCCAAAGAGAGGGGAACCTGCAGACCCTCCTTGGCCAACGTGTTCAACCCTTATGAGGGCTTGGAATGCCCATGCCCCACCTCCCAGGCTGCCTTTGCCTGGCACAAGACCCCCTAGATGGCTGGAGCTGTGAGTACGGGGTCTGTGCAAAGTCTTAGGGCCACTCCATACGGCCGTGGTGGGCCCAGTAACCTGCTCAGACCACGTTAGAGCATGTGGTCTGGTCCCTGGGGCATTTCTAGATTCAAGGCCTTCCCCTTACAGTGTTGGACAAATCCTGTACCCTGTAGCTCAGGGTTACCTTTTTCTCCTCCCAGATTCATCACCCCCACACCGGCGAACCTCAGTGGGTGCTGAGAACACTCTCAAAGGCATGGGTCCCACAGTTACAGACAGCCGCTGGGCCACCTTCCTCGGATGCTGAGCTTAAGTCTCTGAGGGCAGCTTCTGAGAATTGCCCCCCTGGTTCTGCCCAGGAAAGGAGCCTTGGCCTCTCCATAGGCAGATGTGGGATCCCTTAGAGATTGTGGCTCTGCACCAGCAGAAGGGTGGGGCTGGTGAAGGCTCATTAGACGCCCTTGTCCACCCCATGTGCTGCATAGATGAGGAGCCTGAGGCCCACGGAGAGGACACGGTTACTCCTGCGTCCCAGAGACGGGTTCAGGGCAGATCTGAGGCTGAACTGGAGCTCCTACTGCCCATCTTTTCTATCAAAGTTCATGCTGCTGTCCCCAAGACCCTGCTCCAGATACAGAGCTGCAGAAGCTTTCCTGAGCCTAGGCGAGGGCCTGGCCCACTCTACTTTCCCAGAATGAGCGTTGGTGAGGGCCAGGGTGAGCTCTGGCCGAAGCAGGAAAGCGCTGTCTAAACACGCTCTGGGGCTTGTGTGTCTGGCTGGCTGTCCCCCGGGCCAGGTGGGCCTCTGACACACAGCAGGAATTTTCCACTGGCGCATCCTCTGGCTGGTTGGGATCCAACGCATTTTCGAGCCTTTTTGTTTCACTCCAGTTGTCTCCCCTGCCCCATGAAGATGCGCCCTGGGGGCGAGAGCGTGGGGGCCGTGAATCTTCAGAGGCTTCAGGGAGCCCCCCTTCTATGACCCAGAAGCCATCAGTCAGTACCTAAAATACAGAATGAAGGAAAGGAAAATCACTCTTAATAAATCTACATAGATAGTGAAATTAAAGTTCAGAGAGAAGGTGACATGTCCAAGGTAGAGCCAACACAGGTTTGTCTAAGCCTGGCACCATCCTGTTTCCACTGAACCAGTTTCCCAAGGTTAAGAGCCAAGGTCACCGGAAGACACTGCAAGGGGGAGTTTCAAAGATGAAACTGTGGCCAGGCGCTGTGGCCCACTCCTTTAATCCCAGCACTTTGGGAGGCCGAGGTGGGCAGATCACCTGAGGTCAGGAGTTCGAGACCAGCCTGGCCAACGTGATGAAACCCTATCTCTACTAAAAATACAAAAATTAGTTGGGTGTGGTGGTTCACACCTGTAATCCCAGCTACCTGGGAGGCTGAGGCAGGGGAATCACATTGCAGTGAGCCGAGATCACGCTACTGCACTCCAGCCTGGGCAACAGAGCAAGGCTCCATGTAAAAAAAAAAAAAAAAAAAGCTGCAGGAGGGAGCTGGGCCATCCATGTGGGGACACTGCCAGCTCACAGAAGTCCCTGGAATGGACAGCTGAGTGTGCCAGCAACGCACGCATCCCCATGCTGTGTCACTCCAGCCTGGAGGCAGCAACGCCAACAGCTCCTTCCCAAAGGCCAGGCCGGGAGGCCAGGGCCCACACTTTAGGAGCCTGTAACCCCTCATTCTGCATCACAGTGGTAGGGCTTTTTCCTGGGTTGGGGCCAACACATTTGACCCTGCATCCAGAGCATTCCTTGGGCAGCAATAAGGGCCTTGATCTGGAACCTGTCGGGAGGACAGCCTGAGAGGCTGGGCCTGCAGAGGGAGACCAGCTGGGCTGGAGCCTGAGTCTTGTGGGGCCTCTGTCAAGCCATGCAGGAGGGCCACAGGAGGCCACAGTGGGCAGGCACAGGATGCTGCTTTTTCCCAAGACAGTGTTCCTGGCTGGTGGTTGGGGAGGTACCTGTGCCTGCAGGGCAGGTTCACAGCCAAGGAGAGAAGACCAACTTAACACGCTGAATGACATTCTCTGGGCTCCTCCCTCGGACCCTGGAAATGTTTCCTAGAATCATCACCAACTGCCCAGAGCCTGGGCCTCCACAAAGCTGACCTCAGGGAGACTCCAGCCCATTCAGAGAGGTGGGCAAGTGGGGAAGGTGATGGCAGGAAGATCTGGGGTGCCATTTGGCCTGTGCAACCTCCCACCCCCATGAAAATCCTTGCTATGGTTTGAATGTTTCCCTCCTCTGACACTTATGTGGAAACTGTATCCCCAGTGTGGCAGTATTGAGAAGTGGGGCCTTTAGGAGGTGATTAGGTCATGAGGGCTCTGCCCTCATGAATGGACTAATCCATTCATGGATTAATAGATTAAGGGGTTAGTGGATTAATGGGCTATCATGGGAGTGGGACTGGTGGCTTTATAAGAAGAAGAGAGATCTGAGCTAGTACGCTCAGCCCCTCACCCTGTGATGCCCTGTACCACCCAGGGACTCTGCATAGAGTCCCCACCAGCAAGAAGACCCTCAGCAGCCCCTCAGCCTTGGACTTCTTAGTCTTCATAGCTTAAGAAATTAATTCCTTTTCTTGGCCTGGCACAGTGGCTCACACCTGTAATCCCAGCATTTTGGGAGGCCGAGACAGGTGGATCACCTGAGGTCAGGAGTTTGAAACCACCCTGGCCAACATGATGAAACCCCGTCTCTACTAAAAATACAAAAATTAGCCAGGCGTGATGGAGGGTGCCTGTAATCCCAGCTACTTGGGAGGCTGAGGCAGGGAGAATGGCTTGAAACCGGGAGGCAGAGGTTGCAGTGAGCCGAGATTGCACTACTGCACTCCAGACTGGGTGACAGAGCAAGACTCCATCTCAAAAAAATTAAAAATAAAATAATAAATTCCTTTTCTTTATAAATTACTCAGTTTCAGGTATTCTCTTTAAAGCAATAAAGAATGGACAAAGACACTCCTACGGCCGGCTTCCCATTGACCAGCCCAGCATTTCCTGTGTTAGAGAAAAAAGTTTTTCCATGGTCAAATAAATTTGGGAAATCAGGCCAAACCCGTCCTGATTCCCAAATGTATTACAAATTTCCTTCAGATCTTCTAGACAGCGGTTCTCAAGCAGGGGTGAATTTGTCCCCTAGGGGACACTTGTCAATGTATTTAGACATTTTTAGTTGTCACAACTGGGAGGGTACTACTGGTATCTAACGGGTAGAGGCCTGGATGCTGCTAGACATCCTATAATGCACAGGACACCCCATAACAAAGAAGTATCCAGGCCCAAATATCAATAGTGCTGAGACTGAGAAACTTTGTCCTAGAGTGTTGCATAGAACTCCAGGGAGGTGTTCAGGGGCCACAGTGTAGAGAACATTTGTCATTCTTTCGGGCCACCCAGCATCTGCTCTCCCTTCCCATGTTTGAGGATTTGCCCCATGTTTTGAGCCAGAAGCTGAACCCAGAATGGAAGCTCTATGAAGCCAATCCACATTGTCCCAGCCTCTCTTGCAGCTAGGTGGGAGGCAGGTGACCTCCCTCCACCAGTCACATGCATTTTCCCCAGGATTTGGATCCAAAACTCACGATGCAGAAAAGTGAGACTATGCAGAGCCCATTGTGTAGCAGTGAGGGAGGTGGCAGCAGCTGTGGTGGCAGGGGCTATGGTGGTCCTAGAGGCAGGGTGGATGGAGCTAGTGGCACAAGCTAAGGTGTCTATGCAGCAGTAGGGTCTTCCCAGGATCTATCATACAATGTGACTTTGGGTGTTGCTCCTGGCTACTTTGCCTCTGACCTTGATTTTTCTGACCCCACAGGAGATTCTGTGAGCTACCCAAGATCTTTAGAATAAATCCTTTTTAAGCTTAAATTAGGAAAGTCGGCCTCCATTGCTTGCAATTAAGAACTATTTGGGTGGTACTGAGTTCTCCAAGTGTATCTGGGCACAGGATTCTTCTTTTTTTTTTAAACCAGAACATTTATTGCATGACTAATCATTGAAATTCTTAAAATGAACTGGATGTTGCGACAGCTGCCCTCTTGGGTTTAGGTGTTGTTCCTTCATGGAATCCATGCCTGAATGTGTGGTATATAATTTTTAGGTGCCTTATTCAACTGGTCCGGGTGGTATTTCATCTTTTAGCCTTGGCACTCCAGTTATACTTTCTCTCGCACTTGGCAAGGTAGCCACATTTGCCACAGGTCAACTTCTGAAGGTGATAGGCCTTACAGCCACAGCAGTGGCACAACGTGTGTCTTATTGCAACGCTTTCCAAACGATGATGTTCCCTTCATCATCTTGCTTCTGTGGCCGAGACCAGAGAGCAGGCACAGGATTCTTTCTTTTGCAGAACATCTCAAAGAACCTTTGTGCTATGAGCATACTTTAAGGTATATTGGCCAAAATGAGAGTCAAATAGGGATTCCCATAACCTCTGCTCCTGCCAGACCAGACCACTGCAATAGCTCCACCTCCAGCAGAGGTCCAGGACCAGTGAGGACATCAGCATCTCTCTGCTGGTTGTAGCTGAGTCAGGGATACCCTGCAACTACCCTCCTCTTCTGTGCCATCAAGGGCTGAGAATAACTGCAGCTGGCTGCAGCCTCAAAAATCAAAACACAATCAAGGTGTGGAAATGATTGGGCTTATCAGAAGAAGGTGGAAGAAACTGGAAACTCTGATGCCTGATTGGGGTGATGATACTGGCAAATCAGAGATAGGTTTAAAGAGAAACTTGAGGTTTTAAGAATTTAAGAAGTCAGGAGGGAAAAGAGGGAGACTTTTTGGGGAAGGTCAGATATCTACCTAGAAAAGAGTGAAGCTATTTTAGGGGATTTTATATCCGGACTTCATGGAAGATGCTGAGCCCAGTTTCAGATATGTTTAAAGAGAGCAATTTTAAATGACAGTCATTTATTTACTCAACAAATATGTATCAAGAACCAGACATTAAACAAGTGCTGGGTGGCAGTGTTGAAGAAAGCAGGCATAGTGACCTGCCCTTACCCTCCTAGAGCCTGAGATCTAGTCGGGAAGGCAGATACCCAGTCCTTAAGATGCAATTGATCTTTCCATTATAATGGTGTTTCATCATTGGGGAAGAGAGTGAGAGCTGGGGGAATATACGTGGTGTAACCCTCTTTGGGGTCATGGGGGACTTCCTGGGGATGGGACCATCAGAGGAGAAGAAGTGAGCAGATGGGAAGAGGAGTGAGGCTGGTGGAAGAAGGGTCTATGTTGGGGCTGAGATGGAAGGAGTATGGAGGGTTTGGGTCCTGAAAGAAGGCTCCGGAAGCCCAGGATTAGGGCAGGGCAGAATAGAGGACTTGAAGCTGGGCTGGAGAGGTAGGCAGGAGCCAGATCCAAAAGGGTCTTGCAGGCAATTTCAAGGATCCAGGTCTTCATCCTGAAAGCAATAGGAATAATTGGAGGGTTTGGATCGGAGCCATGTGACATAAGGCTGAGGGGATCTGAAACTATAAAATCGGATGTGGCTTCTTCACCTCACCTCAGGTGGGGATTGGGGTCCAGGTGAACTAAAAAGAGGGAGGCAAAAGGAAAAGGATGGACTTTGGGAGGCACCTACCCTGTGCTCAGGCAGCACGCTGGGTGCTTTACATGTGGCGTTGCATTTACAGCAGAGCTGAAATAACCAGAAAAGCCCTGCCCCACTTAAAGCTCGGGTGCTTGTTTCCCCCCACCCCACAATGAGTTGGGTGTTCCAGGCCTGAAGGCTGTCAGGGAGCTTCTGGGAGAAACAGGCAGGGCCCTTGAGAAGCTGGAGGAGCAGGAGGGGAGGAGGAGAAGGAAGTAAGCAAGAGGAACTGGCCCACATAGCCAGAGCAGCTCCAGAGAGCGAGCTGAGAAGGAATCTTAGAAATCGGCAGCTCCAACTACCCCTTTTACAGATGAGGAAGCTAAGGTCCAGGGTTCAGTGGCAGAACTGGAAATAAAGCCCAGCTCTTTAGCTTCTTTTCTGCTGTTCTTCCTACTGCTCCAGGTGTGTGCACAGGTCCCTGTGTGCATGCACATGGGCACGCTGTGTGTGTGTGTGTGTGTGTGCGTGCACACATATGTGGCTGAGATGAGATCATCTGTCTCTCCATCCATCCGTAATCCAAGATGGCCATGATGTCGACATGAATTAAGATGTTTATAGAAATAAAAAAAAATGCTTAGGAAAGCAGTTAATCTATATGGGGGTGGGGGGATCCAGTTTCAGAAGGTGAATGTCTTGATTTTTTATTAATCCCTTTTCTGTTTTATTCAAAGAGGATTTGTTGTTCTCAGCCCCAGCTGGGAGCTTAAGAAAACAGATCTGCGTTTTTCGGCCTCGGTCTATCTCTGAAGCTCTAGGCCTCTTTTATTGGACCTGAGGACAAGGATGCCTGGAACCTGGTCTCTACTCAGGCCAGCTCCATGCCTCAGTTTTCCTCCATACAAAGGCCTGGGGCTTCCCTTTCTATCCCTCTTCCCAAGGGTTGTTTGTCCAACCCAAGAGCAAAAGGGCTCAGACACAGAAGATGAGAAGCAGGATTCAGAGTTGAAGTTGGGGGACCTGACCTGGCAGCTGAGAGAGGACAATAAGCTCTGAGGGAGGCTCTGAGGTGTAAGCAGAGAGAGGGGGAAGATACACAGAGAGCAGAGTGTTGTGGAGAACTCGCCAGGAATCCCATCTTCCCCATCTACTGTGTGGGTGAAACTTGGAGTGACCTTTCCTCCTTGGAAAAATGGGGGTGGCTGTGGGGCCACATTTGCACTGGCTATGCTCTTACAGCTGCTTAGTTTTGGGGCAAACATGTGTATTTCTAAGGTCAGCATTGGTAGGTGGACAGAGGGCTTGGTGTGGTCATCTGTGGTCCCCACCAATCTACGTCAAGCCACTGGAGACCAACTACCTCCTGGGGTCCCAGCCCATCAGACTCAGTAGCTTTCTGGCCCCAAAAATCCCGAGAGAGAATTCCCCTTTGCAGAAGGCTGGACTCCCCAGGGTAGCACAAGGTAAGCTGGCGCCCTCACCCAGGGCTAATTGGGTTCCCAGAAATTTTGACTACAACAAAAAAGCAGGTCCCAGTTCCTCCAGATTCCTAAGGTCAACACGAGTATCTGCTCCAGTCCAGGGCCCTGGCCTTTGCCTGGAATACCATCATCCCTTTGCTAGGCCTCAATTTTTCTTATTAGGAAACTCAGCAATGGGTTTTGAGCTCAATCAAGTGTTGGCGCCATCATCATGTTAGCCCTCTGCCCTTCCCCACTCTGGGCCTCTGTTCTGTCACCGGTTAAATGGGAATTCAGTCCAGATGACCTCCTGCACCACATGCAAGTTCCCTTTGGTGCTCATTTCAAGATTCTAGACTTCTGAGTCCTGCTAAGGCTCTTGCCTGCCTCTCATCAACTCAGTCCTTCCACAGCCCACCCCCCAACCCCAGGTTAGATGCTAGTGAGGTCCCTCATTAATCTAGTTGACAGGCCTGGAACCTGCTTCTGTTTGTCAATTCCTTCCTCCCAGCATGCTGGTCCAGAGCCCAGCAGCTGGGGCCATCGGTGTCAGGATTCCTCCCTTGGCAGTCCCTGTCACCCAGGCAGATCATCTAAGCCTCAGGCTAGCTTCCTTCCTGGGCTCTGGCATGGGTTGGTTTCCAGCCCTTATCAAGAAAAGAGGGAACAGAGGGCAGTGGCATGCCAGTCCTACTGTAAGGACTGCAGCTTCCCTTATCTCCCTTCATCTTGCCATCCTCTTGAGGCAGATGGGGCCAGGAACCCCACTTTAAGAAAAAGGGGCGAGGGCAGACCCCACCCAGAGGTGCCGACTCCAGAGCTTGAGCTCCTTCCTCAGCCTTGTGCTGCCTCCTTAGATCTCCTCTGGGAAAGCAGGGCACAGTTCTTTGGCCAGGAGTCCTGCCTTAACTCAATTCATCAAATATTTATTAATAGACCAGAAGCTTTGCTTGGCATGGTGTTAGGGGACAGCAAGGGACCACAGAACCTATGGGGTGATTCCCTTCCAGCCCCTGGGGTGGGCCTCGGTCCCTCCCCCAGGGCAGTGTCAGGCCATCGTCAGACACCCATGGGCCTCTGACAGCCACTTTCCCAATTGTCCTTTTGGATCCAGCAAGTTACAGCTCATTCCTTTGGCCCACATTGTTCCTTAACGACATCACTTTTTCCATCTCCCGAAGGCACCGTGCCCTTCCGCCTGAGCACTGCCTCCCAGCTGATCTCCATCTCCCTGACGTGCTGTACTTTCCATGGATCGCTGGAGGGCATCATCTCTGGATCATCTGAGATCTGTGAAGCTCAGAGCCTGAGTACCCCCAGGCCTCCCCATGGTGACCCAACACCATGACCAAACTTGTCCATTTAGTTGGATGATCCCTGTTCCTTCAAATCACTGGGTGCCCTGGAGACACGGATCTTCTCCAGGCACCCGGCTGAAAGCCTCAAAAGCATCCTTTAACTTGTGCACAGATATGGGGATCCTTATGAGTCCCTGCTTGGTCTGGATGTCAGGTTGGGCCATGGACAGCTCTTCCTCTCCCTCATCTCCACCTTGCATGGGTCACTAGCACATTCACTGGCAGTCTTCTCTCACAGTCCCTTTGCGAGCTCAAGTCACTTGGCATCACCCACAGCTCTACATACTTCCTATTCCAAGTTTAGCATAGGTTCCTCCTGGGTGAATCCAGGTGCTGGGTCCTGGCCCTCCCAACAGCCTTCCTCTCTGAGCTACTCATTCATGCATGTGACCAGTATTTTCCTAAGCTCTCACTATGTGCCAGGCCCAGTGTTGCCAGCACCTTCTGTTTTACTCTCTGTCATTGATAGCTCTGGCCCCCACCATTTTCTAGTGAGGGAGTGTGGCACAGATGGCAAAGCACACACTTGGGAGTCAGAGTTATCTGGGTTTCAGTCCCGGATCTGTCATCTGTTTGTTTGTTTATTTGTTTATTTATATATTTATTTAAGACCAAGTCTCACTCTGTCACCCAGGCTAGAGTGCCGTGGCGTGATCTCGGCTCACTGTAACCTCCACCTCCCAGGTTCAAGCGATTCTGGTGCCTCAGCCTCCTGAGTAGCTGAGATTACAGGTGCCTGCCACCACGCCCGGCTAATTTTTGTATTTTTTTAGTAGAGACAGGGTTTCACCATGTTGGCCAGGCTGGTCTCAAACTCCTGAACTCAAGTCATCTGCCTGCCTTGGCCTCCCAAAGTGCTGGGATTACAGGCATGAGCCGCTGAGCCTGGCCATGTTGTCTATTTAATTATGAAAACTTAGACAAGTTGCTTCACTGGAAGCTTCGGTTTCCTCATCTGTCAGCTGGGAATGCTGCCATTGCTAAGGTGGTTGGGAGCACTAAGTGCATTCATATATGTACGTGGTGTGATGTGTATTTCTGGCATGAAGGCAAGAAAAAGGCTGGTATATTTGGAGGAACTGCAAAGAATACAGAATGGCGGGTCTAAGGAGCCCTAGGGGAGCAATAGGGCGTGCAGCCGGAGAGGCCAGCTGGGTGAATGGTGCATGGCATGGAGGACCAACCGAGGAACCCAGGCCAGGCAGAGCCAACAAAGCCAGGAGCTCATCATGTCATACCCCTGCCCAAGCACCTTCATGTCCCCCAACTGCCTCCAAGTGGCAGTGCAGGTTTCTTTGACCAAACCAACCCTTGAGGCTTTCCAGCAAGCATCCAGTCTAGCCTTCTCTCCCATCACACTCTGAAAAAGATGGGGAATAAAGTGGCATCTTCTTTACAGTCTCTTTCTCGGTGAATGGTTAGTGCTGGGTGCGGAGGAGCAGGACAGCCCAAGCCTGCCTCTGTGCTCCAGCCCGCACGTCCTGCCTCCTTCCTTTTCTTCTCCTCTGGGCCTGATCCAGGAGAATCCGCTCTCCCCAGCCCCAGTCTCTGAATCAAGGTTGCTTCTTGCCCCCTACCCCACCCCCACTAAATACCACCCAAAGGCTGTGTGTGGCTCAGCAAGGCCAATGGTTGCCAATCAGCACCAGGGCTCTTCTTTGAGGACAGACCGAGGCTTTGGTCTAATTACATAGGCACCAGGCATCTGAGATCACCAAGGCCAGGAAAAGCTGAAAGTCAGGTAGTTCCCACTGTCTGCTCCAGCAAGGCCAGCTGGCTCTCAAAACCATCAAAACAGAGAGAAGGGCGAGGTTGGAGAGGGAGACCTGAAGCCCAGCTATTAATAACAGTCTCACCTTTTAACAAAATATTATATTAGTTTCACATTCACACTGGCAGTCTCCCCACCCCTGTGTGAGGTGAGCTATGCAGACATTGCTCTCTCCATTTTCTCACTTATAGAGGGGAAACTGAGGCTCAGAGAAGGGCCATGGCCTGCCCAGGGTCACCACAGAGGCCTCTTGCCTTCTGGTCCCTTCCACTGGGCTGCCCATCTGGTGAGTTTGGTTCACATCAGTCGTTTGGTACTGATCCAGAGTTCTAGAACTTCTGTTTAAAATTCCCCTTCAGCATGGGAAGGGGGCAGCATTCAGAAAATCTTCCAGGGAATTCTTCCTCTGGAAAAGGAGAATGCCATGTGAAGCAACGTGGATAGAACAGATGCTGTCGTGGCCCACACCTCATCTCTTTCCATCTTGCTCATCACCCTTCATTTCCAGGTACCCCCTTCCCGTTTGTTAACACTCTAACATGACCCACCCAACTTCCTCGACGAATCTGGGACTCTAAAGCCACTAAATCATGGTCCAAAATATCATAGCTGTTTTTGGGGGAACACACATTTCATAAAATTTCTAGAGGAAAAGAAGAATAGTACCAGGACATCTGTATTTTTATTTTAAAAATGTGCTATTTGAGTTATTTTTTAAAACACAGTCTGAATAATTAGATCCTGTAGTGTGTGTTTTATGTTTGGGGATTTCAAACAGGTTTTTCTCTAGCTGGTCAGCTCACTTTAACCTGAACCAGAATTCAAGCCAGCTGGGATGCATAGACCAGAGTTTCAAGATTAGAATGGATCTTCTCTAGTCCATCCTATTTGTTTGACAGATAGGGAAACTGAGGCTCAGAATAGAAAAGTGCTCTCCTCAGTGAAATTCAGCTCCTTTGTGGCAGAGCCAAGCCTCAACCCAGGTCTTTGAGTCCCCCTTTGATACTGTTTCTACAGTGCACTGTGCTCTGAGATCCGGGAAGCCTGTGGAAGGGGCCAGGGAACTGCTTTCTGAGCAACCCCTGGCCTCAGACCAGCCTGCCCAGGCCTGGACCTCAGGTTACTCTGATGCTCCTACTCGCGCATGTGTCTGGCTCAAATGGCTATCCCTTTGGACCGCTGCAAGGGGCTGATTAGATGTAATTGCTTTGCCTAGAGCGAGCTATCTGCTTAATAGTATCAGCTCCCAATAATTAGCCTGCCAGAGGCCCATTTCCCTTGCTGGAGTCCAGGGCCTCCAGGCCCTCACTCCAACCTGTGCATGATGGACCTCCCTCTGCAGGTAACAGGGTGTACAGTGCATGTGGGTGGGCTTCTGGCTTGGGTTGGAGAGCTGGAAGAAAGCACTGCTGTGGAGGCTATGCAAGAACTCCAGATGCATCCCTTCCTGAGGCCTGGAGCCAGGGAATACAGCATTTCCAGGTGGGAGGGATAGAGTCTGGCAGAGACGGCATAGACAGACTGCTCCATAAATGTTAAACTGAGCCCAACGGATCCACAAAGGGCATCTAGACCAGCCCCAAACTCAAAATATTCAACAGTCAAGTCAAAAGGCAATCCTTGCAGACCTGCCACGTGCCAGGCACTCTGCTAGTTCCTAGGATCCTTCTAACATAGCCTCAAGCCACCCAAACTGTGCTTACATACCTCTGGTGACCAAGTGCTCATCACCATCCTGGAAAGCTCACTCCTTCTTCAGGGACGTGGAGAATGTTCCATCTTATGTTGAACTGAAAGCTCTTTCCCTGTTGCATCATCCCCACAGATCACTGGCCCCTTCTGGACTACACAGAGCAAAGCCAATCCCTCCTCAGGTGATAGCTCTCATGTCCCCTGCATCTTTTCTTCCGGCTGAACATCCCAAGGCCCCTCCTTTGTGCCACGTACATCATGCTGGCGAGGCCCCTCGTTAATCTGGTTGACAGGCCTGGAACCCGCCTCTGTTTGTCAATTCCTTCCTCCCAGCATGCTGGTCCGGAGCCCAGCAGGGGGGGTCACAGGTGTCAAGATTCCTCCCTTGGCAGAAACCACTACAGCCCTAGCAGAACATGACACTACCCAAGGAGCACCATCGTGGCTGCCTGAGCCTGTCCACTGAGGGAAGAACACCTGCAGCCTGCTCACCAGTAGCAGTCGCCTCTGCTGCCCTCTCCCCTGCCCTGAGACACACACACACACACACACAAGCACACACACTGCCGTGCGTGCTCCCAGGCACCACTCAATACGCACGGGCTGATTAATCATTGCAAGTGTTCTTGTAATTATTGCATTCGGTGCTGAGAACAGGCTGCCTCTGCTTGCTTCTCAGAAGCCATAAACCTGCACAGAGGATTTCAAGATTTGTGAGGCTGTTGACACGATCTCCGGGCTCACTTTCTTCCTTAGCAACAATGTGTTTGTCAGGAAATACAGGCTGTGGCCACTCCAGAACCTCTGCAGAGGACAAGCTTAAGGGACTTAATTCTTGCAGTGGGAAGAGGGCGAGTTTAGCGAACTTATCTTATGGTATTCAGTTAGGAAGTAGCATAGACGTGAGGCCTGGAGGTGTTCACTCCCCTTGCCAGACCTCAGTTTCCTCATGGGCACTGGGCATTCTACGCTTTTCTCCAGCTTTAATTACTCTGTGATCCTTGGCCAAATGCAGAGAAGACTGGGTATGGAGGGGAAAATGCAAAGGTCCAGAAGACAGAAGAAGAGGGGAAGAGGAGACAAGGACTGAAGCTGAAATTCTCAGACTCACAGACACACACAGACACACACACACACACACACACACACACACACACTCCAGGCTGGAGAACAAAGGCTGATTTCCTCCCAGGTCTGGCTCTGTATCACCTGCTGGCCTTCCTGAAACCCCAGTAATGGCTGGGTCTGTCCCAGCCCCTGCCCCAAGTGTGGGAAGGGGAAGGCATTGAAGAGGAAAGGAAAAGGGGGAAGAGGATGAGATGAGTAGAAAGTGGGGAGGGAGGTACACAAATGGTAAAGTCAGAAAAGTGAATCATCCCAGTGCCGGTGAGGACAGAGCGGGAATCTTGTGCACTGCTGGGGAGAATGAAAACCAAGACTGCCATGCCAAGGACAGCCCAGCAGTATTTAGTGACATGCCTGCACCTGCCCAGTGTCAACCTGTCTCTGCCACATGTTTGCTGTGGCATTGGGGGCCAGTTCAGCAGGCATAAGCACTGTGGCCACTGAACAATTCCCTGCAGATCCTTAAGCACGCATACACAAGGATGCTCATCACAGGCTCAGGGAAATGGAGGCCACTTAGGAGGCCACTCTAGGGGCAGGGGTTCATCACACACGGGGGATGCAGACTGTGAAATAAGGGCTACGGCTTCATGCTGTCCATGGCTGCTGTGAGCAGGAGCAAGCCTGACCCCACAGCAACTCCACAAAGCCCTGCTGTTCCTCACTCTCACTAGTAGGAGAGCCAAGCCCAGTCCCAGCCTAGGGCTGGCCTCACAGATCTTTGAATTTGACCCCTCATTCCCAGATGAGAACCCTTTCTCCCCAACCCACAGCACGACTGGGCGGGGCTAAGAACAGGGCCAGGTGTCCAGACTCCCAGCCCCGTGTGCTCTCCCCCACAGCCCGCAGAGCCTCTCTTTGTTAACAGTTGCCTTTTGTGTTTGATTTGGGCTTGAGATGTTAAACAAATAGTGTCTCTTGACAAATGCAAGCCGGCTGCACTGGGACCAGTTATGCTCCATAAAGCCAGGCTAATCCCCTGACTTCTCTCCCTACAGAGATACACCAAGAAACACCCCAATCATACCCAAAGCACCCTAAATCTGATTGACCTGCAGACAGAGGCCATGATCCCTGGTGCAGCGCTCGGTGTCAGCAATGTCCTTCTGGGCTTTCTGCAGCAGCTTCTGGGCTTCTCTCCCCCTTCTCAGGCCTGACCCTGGCTTGATGTCAAGATGGCTCTGGACCCTGCCTCCTACATGAACCATGGGCCCCAGGCCCTACTGACCCACCTGAGCCCACCAGGCCAACTGGACCAAATAGAGGGGTGTTTACAAACACCTTCTCTGTGTCAGCTGCTGTGCCAGGAGCTGTGGCTTACAGACATGAGTAAGGCCCTACCCCTGCCCTACAGGAGATTATGGTCTGCTCTAAACAAAACGAACTTGAATTTCACGTGAGGATCTGGTCTAGAAACTGATGGAGTCAGGATCTGAACTTCAGCTTGTCTGACTCAGGGTCCTACCTCATTGATCCTGCCCCTATCCTCCAGCCAAACTGCCAATACAGGGGGCTGGAAAGCAATGGACAGGGAGGTATTTGGGCCTCTCATCCTTCTGGCCACATTCTTGGCCATTGTACACTGACCACTCTGGTCAAATGGCCAGGGCTCTCGTTAACATCCCAGAATGTCAGAGCAGGAAGGGACCTTTGGATACAGCCAACGCTTTTGTCTTATAGAAAAAGAAACTGAGACACATAGAGGCCACGTGAGTTTCCCGAGTCCACCCAACTAGTTGGTGGTAGTTGATGGCAGCACTGGGACCAAACTCCAGCCTCTGGACTCCTAGTTCAATGCTGTCTCCCACATGCTTCCTTGGGCCCTGGGACACACATCTGTCTTTATCCTCCTCTCCTAAGCTAGACAGAGCTTGTCCCAGCTTTAGAACTATCTCTCTTCAGAGAACCACAGAAGCAGATTGCCAGGGTTTTTCTGCCTGCAGACTCAGCCATCTGTGCCCCTCTCCCTCTGACACTGATGGTCTCTAACTCAGGTATAGAGATCCTTAAAGCCTTCATTTGAGTGAGTCACCCAAGGAAACATGTGGAGCAGCTCTAAGGTGCAAAGTACTGCGGGGAGAGTAGCATGAGTGAGAAGGGTTTCCTCCACCCTGGAGAAGATAATGAGCCAGTGGGGAAGATGGATATGAAAGAACAGCTAATCTTTTAGGCAGGAGGAATACCTGCTGAGTTGATGCTTAGATAGGGTGCTGCAGAAGCACAAAAAGAGCCAGTGGTTCTGATCAGAGGAAACTGGGAAATGCTTCATGGAGGGAGTGGTCTTTAAGCTGGGTCTTGGAGCCTGAATAGGAGTTCAACAGACAGAAGATGGGAAAGGCAAGGAGGCACCAGCATCCCAGGTTATGGGAGCCACATGAGCCATGTGAAGCATGGAAGTACTTGGATGTGTTTAGAACTTAGAGAAGAATGGACTGGAAGATAAAGCTGGTTAATAATTGTGTATGATGTTAGTATATAATAAAATATAGTAACTAATGACACATTCTGTTCAATTTATCCTACCTAACTCTGTGTCCCTTTCCTCACAAACTAGAATCTTAAAAGTAGTGCTATTTCCTCTTTTTGTCTGATTATTGGGAGAACTAGAGAAACAGAGTCCGGGAAGGTCATGGGATGCTATAAATGAAGGGAGTGTGGACATTTCCTGGTCCAGACCCCTCCACTGATGGATGAGCAGCAAGCCTCAAGGAGAAGGAGCGACTGGCCCCCAATGCCAGAGCAAACAGGTGGCAGAGACAGGTTGACACTGGGCAGGCACAGGCAGGTCTGAGGAGCCCAGGATGGGAAGAAATGGGATAAGCTGATATGTCTTTGGCACAATCTGACCCAGGTTGCCTACAAGTCCCAGGGGCTACTCAGAAACCTAGACTGGTACCAACATGGCTCCTATTCCAGAACCTTCTCCCCAAGAGAAGGAGAGAGGAGGGGCAGGAAGAAGGAGACCTAGGCTGCCCTCTGGGCTTCAGGGCCTCCCCACTGATAGGTGCCCTGGTCCCACACATAATAGGTGCAACAAGAAAGTGCCAACCTTGGGACATGAGTCCTGGTTCCCCCTCACTCACTGTGTGACCTTGGACAACACTCTTCCTACTGTCTGGGCCTCAGTTTCCTCATATGTAACATGAGAAGGTTGGGCTAAATGATCTCTAAAGGTCCTTTCAGTATTGAAGTGCTCAGAGAAAAAGCTTCATCATGATTAATAATACATGCCCTGCCCCTAAAGACAGCTTTTTCCCTTTTCCAAAGCTCTTTCACTCATAATATCACCTTTCATCGGTACAGCTGTCTGGCCTGGCAGTCACAAGCAAGCAGAACCTGGACACAGCCTTTTCACCTTGAAAACCTGGTCTAGCAACCCTCTTGCTCATCTAGACAGGCTTTGGGGGAATTCGCTTCTGGGGTGACTGTCACCAGGAGCCAATACATCAGAAATGCACAGAACCTAACTTGTACCTTCACCTCTGAGAAGCTGGGAAAGGCAGTACTTTCCTTCCAGGGAGCCAGAAGATGCAAAGGGGAAAAGCCTGCAATAGGCTGAGTTGCTGGTCAGAGGGCAAGACCAGAAATTCTGTGCCTGCAAAGAAACAAAGATCTTCCCTTGAAGAGGGAGGGGGAACATGGTGCTATAAATGTAGGACCCTCCCATTGGGCTCTGAAGTCATTAGAGAGCCTCATATCATCTGATTTGCACACATGTGTTCTTCTTTGATCTCTCAAAACAAATGGTTCAAGACGCGGGTAGAGCTAATATTATTATCTATTCCACTTTACAAATTGAAAAAAAAAAAAGAGAGACTCAAGGAGTCATGGCAAAGAGCATGGGCTTAAGAGGCAGACAGACTGAAGCCTCTTCCCAGCTGAGTGAAATTTACTGATTCTCTACATTGCCTTTAGCCTCAGTTTCCCCATCTATAAAATAGGCATGACCACACCTACCTTTCAGGATTGTGGTGAGGACCAGAGATGATGAATCCCTGACACACAACAGATGCTTAATAAATACTTGTTGAAGGAATGAAGGGGTTGGTGGCACTTCTGGGGTGTCATTGGAGGAGTGTAGTGTCCGGCAGTGACAGGTCAGCCCAGCCTGTGGGTAGACAGTGCTCCAGCTTCTGGCTGACTGCCTCCTGAGTCTGCTCTCAGTCAGGGGCCTTGGTGTCTCTTCCCTGTCTCTCTGCCTGGCCCATGCCAGGGTCCTGTGAAGGACTTTTTAACCCTTCTTGGCACTGAGATTTGCATTCCAATCATTCTGCTCACTCAGCCCATCCAAGTCTGGAGTTGTTTAGAGCTGGGCAAGGCCTGTGGGATCATCTGCTACGACACCTCGTTGAAAAGATAAGGAAACAAGGCTCTGAGAGGGTCAGTAATGCCTGAGTTTCCACTACCCTTCCCACCTCACCACCATAGCCACCATGTTTGACAAATGAAGAAACTGAGGCATAGGGACCCCCTCTCCTGCCCCAGTTCCCGCAGTCTGCCAGTGAGCCTCCTGCTCTGGGCCCCACCTGCCCAATTCCAGCTAGATCCCGGTTCTGCTGGGATGCCCTAAGGTGGTGGCAGGTGCTATCTCTGGCAACTCAGCCTAAGCCCAGCCTGGTGCACGGGTGCAAGACAGGAACCATGGGAGTCGGGACAGCCTAGAAGCCCCTGGGAGCGAAGCAGGAGGCCTAGACTCCCAGCCTGTGCCTTCTCAGCCAGTTCCAAGAACTGTGCTGACCTGGGAAGGCACACATTGCCTGAGAACAGGGCTTTCCCTTGGGTGTCAGCTCATGTGTGCCCAGGTCCACAGCTGGGCCCTGCCTGCTTCCAAGACAGCCAGAGTCTGGCCCAAGGGAGGAAGGAGTGTGGCCTGGGAGGAAGGAACGCTTGGCTGAGTCCCAGTGCTGTCACGAAATCACTGCGTGCCCATGCGTGTCACTTGACCTCTCTGGGCCTCCATTTCCTCATCCATAGGATAAGGGCAGGACAGCGAGGCCCCAAGTGCCTCCTGGCTGCAATATGCTGTGATGAGGGTGGAGGGTGGGGTGGGGAGGGGCTCGCTCTGCCTTCCTTGCCTTCCTGTCTGTTTCTCTGTCATTAGTTTATCTCCAGCAATCCAGGCCTCTCTGTCTCAGTCTGTTGCTCTCTCTGTTTCCATCTTTTGCTCTGTATTTTTCTGCCCGCCTCTCTTCTTTTTCTGTCTGAGTGCACCTCTGATTTTATCTCCTCCTCTGTCACACAGCCCCCTTCCCTCAGTCCTACACTGCCTTTCTCCCATTCTCCGTAGTTATCAGCGTTTCGCTGTCTAGTTTTCTCTGTCTCTCGGGCTCGCTCTCTCTCTCTTTCTCTCTCTCTGTCCTGCCCGGGCTCTCTCGCGGCCGCCCCTCCCGTCCCCTCCGCCAGCCCCCCTCCTCCCTCCTCGGCGCGTCTCCCCAGTCCTTATTTGGCTGGGCGGGAGGGCTGGCGGGAGGAGGCGGCCTGCGGGCGGGGGGCGGGGGGCGGGCGCGGGGCCGGGCGGAGGAGGGCGGTGGGTGGTGCTGAAGGGACAGCTCCGCGGCGGCGGCGGCGGCGGCGGCCCCGGGCGCTGAGCGGGTGCCCGGCGCGGAGAGCGGCGAGCGCAGCCATGCCCCAGGCCGCCTCCGGGGCAGCAGCAGCGGCGGCCGGGGCCGAGGCGCGGGCCGGGGGCGCCGGGGGGCCGGCGGCGGCCCGGGCGGGACGATGAAGCGGCAGAACGTGCGCACGCTGGCGCTCATCGTGTGCACCTTCACCTACCTGCTGGTGGGCGCCGCGGTCTTCGACGCGCTGGAGTCGGAGCCCGAGCTGATCGAGCGGCAGCGGCTGGAGCTGCGGCAGCAGGAGCTGCGGGCGCGCTACAACCTCAGCCAGGGCGGCTACGAGGAGCTGGAGCGCGTCGTGCTGCGCCTCAAGCCGCACAAGGCCGGCGTGCAGTGGCGCTTCGCCGGCTCCTTCTACTTCGCCATCACCGTCATCACCACCATCGGTAACGGCTCGCCGGGCGGGGGGCGGGAACCCAGGGCTGGGCGCGGGGCTCCGGGAGTCGTCCGGGGCCGGCTGGGGCTGGGGGCGGGGGCTCCCCCGAGAGGGGCTGGGCGCCGAACCCTGCGCTCGCAGAAACCCGAGTTCAGCCTGGCGTGTGTGCTCCGCGGGGACGGAACTCGGGGAGGCGTCGATTCCTGGCTCCGGACCTGACTCTCCGGCCGGGCCAGCCCTAACTTGGCCCTGCCATGTTGCATAGGCCCCCAGGGACTCCGAAGTGTGTGAGAGGGGCAGGGACGACCGGCGGAGGCTCGGGCAGGAGGGGTGTGGCCGGGCCAGGCCCTGAACAGGGCGCTGAGAGTGAGCGGCGGGAGAGCGCCAGTGCTCCGTATCCCTGAGGATCGGCTTCCACAGCCTAGCAGGTCTACACCTGCTGGGCTCTGGGGAGGCATGAGGATGTCGGAATGCGGCACTTCGGGGCACTTGGGGCCACCCTATAACGGCGGCTGTGAGTGTACGTGTGTCTGCGTGTTTCAGCTCCAGGAGTTTGGTCGCCACCAGTCAGTGCCTGTGATTTTCTCAGAGCGGCAGAATTGGTGCGGGAAGCCAGATCTGGCCTTGTCAGCCTTCTTCTCTGCTGTCCCAGCAAAACAGTCACCTCACAGGAATAACCCCAGTTCTTTCCAAGCCAGGGCAGATCACCATGTAGGAGGCCACACGTACACCCAGACTGTCAGACAACACAGGCATAGGCACACATGCACACAGATACACACAGGCACTCACAGGGTACACACAGGGCGGGCACACACACACACACACACAGAGAGAGAGACAGAGAGAGAGAGAGAGAACAAACGTTGCCCAGGAAAGGAATCTCTAGCCAGGCCCTTGGTGGTGCTATTCAAAACTGTCCAGACGGGAATAACACCTTACCTGTCCCCAACACCCTATGATTTCAGCCCAGCTCCATCACTACCGTGATATATGACCTTGGGCAAGTCCCTTCCCCTGTCTGGGTCTCAGGCTCACCTCCAGACAAGGAGGGGTGGCCAAAATGATCTCAAGAGCTCCTCCCCAGCCCCGACGTGCTTGGATTCTGAGATGAAACCCACCTTCCCCCAAAGCCCATTGAGATGCCTCCAGAAGCAGTTTCCTCTGTCTTTACTGTTCCCTCTCCTCTCCCTAGTCCCCTTCCCTGCCTTGATCAGACTCCCAGGGGTTCGTTGCCACTTAGCGCAGCCCATGAAGATGGCATTGTTTTCCTGGGAGTCAACAGGAGCTGAGGGAGTAAAAGGCAGGACTAGACACTCTTCCTGCGGTCTATCCACTGCAGGACACTGTTCCAAGAATCTACGGCTCCCTGGGGACCATGGGGAGCTATGCTGTGTCGTTTCTGGATTCTTCTCTTGGAAGAGGGAGGAAAGGGCCCTGGGAGTGGATGTGGCCCAGCTGGGGCACCTCTGGGTCCTACTGGTCCTGTGAGTTTAGGATAGGATGATCAGACTTAGGTCTGCCCAAAGAGGAGCCCGCTTCCTGAAAAACACCAGCCCAGATTTGGTCTGCAGTCTCTTCCACTCTCACACCCCACTACTATTTGCCAGGGTTTCAGTAGCTGTTTAGCTGTCTGGAGAATCAAAAGAATCAGACTGAACATCTTTGGACCCTCTCTCTCCCTCTTTTCCACACGTCAAGCCTTCACGCGTGTCCCCTTTCCTTCTCAGGCCCATGGTCCCCAGCTTCATAGTAACCTCCCAACTGACCTCCCTGCCTACCCCACAACAAGGCATGCTCCCCTGGACAATGCTGCCAGAAAGAAAA
The DNA here is from genome assembly GCF_000001405.40 of Homo sapiens. Taxonomy (NCBI): domain Eukaryota; kingdom Metazoa; phylum Chordata; class Mammalia; order Primates; family Hominidae; genus Homo; species Homo sapiens. The sequence continues at coordinate 26,694,976 of NC_000002.12, forward strand.
ACTCAGCTGTCACCAAACCAATTCCCTTCTTGGAATCCCTCAATGACTCTCCACTGTCCATGGAATCTGGTCTATGCTCCTTATCTCAAATTTTGAGGATCTCCATACCTGGCTCCAACCTCTATGTCTGACTTCACATCTCACTTCTTACTTATGTGATCCCTCTCGATAGCTGCCAACCTGTCCTCTGAGAATACCTTAAGTATGCCTGTCTGGCATGCCTTTTTCTCTGCCCTTTTTCTTTTCTTTTTTCTTTTTTTGAGAGAAAGAGTCTCACTCTGTCTCACCCAGGCTGGAATGCAGTGGTGTAATCATAGTTCAGCACAACCTCAAACCCCTGGCCTCAAGCGATCCTCTCACCTGGGCCTCCCAAAGTGCTGGGATTACAGGTGTGAGCCACTGCGCCTGGCTCTACCTTCTATTTATCTTGTCCATGCTAACCTTCCAGGTCCAGCTCAAATCCCCCCTCCTCCTCAAAGCCTCCCAGGCCACTGCTCTGGACAACTGCAGGTCTCACTGTGAGGATGATCTGGGTGACACGCTGTTGGCTGTTTTGAATGGTTATTTGCATTATAGGGGAAGTGTTTTGTCTCTTTGACCACACTGTACTCAACCTCCATGTGGGCAGGTCCTGCAGTTCCTGTCTCTGTGCTCCAAGTGCCAGCATAGTACCCAGAGGCTGTGAGCACACACAGAATGCTATTGATGGGTTTAAGGTGTGCAGAAATGAAAGGGTAGCATCCTTCCCTCTTCCTCTGCCGTTTCCCAAAGTGCTTGCAGTCCTCACCAAGAGAGACGCTAAAAGCCATGGGGGGAGAGGCAGACAGAGTGCGGTTCTGGTGATTATTTATTTATAAAGTGCTGGGCAAGAGGAAAGACAACATCAGACCACCCCCCTGGTTCTGTGGGGGCCCCTCCCTCCCTGCCCCACCTGACCATCCTGGCTTTGTGTTGCCTTCCACTGTGGCTATGCCACCTTGCTGGAAGCTGTCCACAGGGGCTCTGCTCTAAGAAAAACCTATTTGGGCTGTGATCAGATGGTAGAAAGGGGCCTTAGTTAGGCTGATAATGGCCCCAAACCCAAGGGCAGCAGCCTGTGTTCACCTGACCCCTTTGAAAACATGAATGAGTCTCATTCTGAGATACCGGGTGTCCCATTGGGATGGAATAATGACAGCACTTCCCATCATTTGCTACCTTAGTGATCACAATGCACTTGCATCTCTTGTCATGATTCTCAGTCTTCATGACTTGGTGAAGTTGCTGGGCAGGTATTGTTAGCTCTGCTGCATGGATGAAGGCGTGAAGGCTCAGGGAAGGGAAGCGGCTCCCCCAGTCACCCAGCTGGTAAGCAGCAGAGTCAGAGTGGGAAGCTGGGTCTTCTGACTCCAAGCCCAGTGCTCTTTCCCTGCTGGTCTTTTGGCTGCTTCCTTTGACTCCATATGCTATGAAGCTCAGACCCAGCCAGGCCTGACACAGCCAAGCCGTGCTTAGTGATGCCAGCTCACAGGGTGCTCATGGGCAGCCCTGATTGGTTGGAGGTCAGCAGGTTCTTTCTTAGTCATTCACCTGGTTAGTCACCGTCTCCACTGGCTGGAAGGATTCCTCCAGCTCCCTATCCCTGGTCTCCCAGCCAGGAAACCCTTCCTTTGCTGGTGCCCTAAGTTCACCCAACAGTAATAGAAAGTCATTTCTTAGGAAGTCTTAACCACTTTAGCTGTTGAGTCATTAAACTCCTCCAGGGCCCAAGCCTCATCTATTCATAGCTCAGAGGCTGTCAGAGCAGGAAGGGGCTTCGGAGATCAGCTGGTACCACCCCCTGCTCTGACAGATAAGGAGTCAGAGAGGTGACAGAAATCACACAGTCAGAGGGTAGCAAAAACCTAACCCCCAGTCCCCTACTCCTTCTACTTGTTCAGGATACTTATTTATTATTTTTATTAACAACAGCAGCAGCAACAACAATAACAATGGCAACCACCATTTATTATTTACTTTGTGGCAGGCTCTATACTAGACGCTTCATTTGTACCCCCTTATTTAATTCTCTCACCAACCTCTCTAGATAGGCATTATTACCCCCATTTTTCAGCTGAGGAACCTGAGGCTCTGAGGGTAGATGACTCCCCCATGGCCTCAGGCCTCGGAAGCATGGCACTTGCCCAGATTCAATTGGACCTCTCTGACTCTCCTGCCCTGAATTTTTCACGAATTCTTTCTCCATTTCAAGAGCCCATTCCATGCTGGGTGCAGTGGCTGACACCGGTAATCCCAGCACTTTGGGAGGCGGAGGCAGAAGTAGACAGATCGCTTGAGGCCAGGAGGTCCAGACCAGCCCGGACAACATGGCAAAACCCAGTCTCTACTAAAAATACAAAAATTAGCCAGGCATGGTGGTTCATGCCTGTAGTCCCAGCTACTCAGGAGGCTGAGGCATGAGAATCACTTGAACGCAGAAGGCAGAGGCTGCAGTGAGCCGAGATCGCACCATTGCACTCCAGCCTAGGGCACCTAGAAGCCAAGGCTTGCCTTTTCCCCAGCAAAGCCCTCCCCAGAAGCAGGGGGCTTCCTGCTCGAGCACACTCCAGTCAGGCCTGCTGCTTGCCACACCCTGGCCCCTGACCAAACCAGACGACTTGTCACAGCTGTGCCCAGCACCCGCCATGGGCACCTGCCATGGGCTCGCAGGTGCCCATTCTCCCACTGCAGGTCCTGGGAATCTTTTTGGCTCTAAGGCAACAACAAAGAGACCAGGTGATTGATTCGCTGATGGGGCTGGGGCAGAAAACCTTCTGTTCCGCTCTTTCCCCAGCTTCCAGCCTGTGCTCAGCTGAGCACCACCTCCCGTCACCCACCACATGGCCTGAGAACCCTTAGACTGTGAACTCAAGCAGGTGATTCATGAGGAAACCTATACTTTTTACATCTTTTCAAGAAGGAGAGTACAGATGTGACCTGCCACCCCCAAAATCCCAGAGGTCCTAAAATAAGAGAAGGAGACATTAGCAATCTTCCAAACACCCAGAGAGGTGAGCGGCTTGTCCACACTCACACAGGGAGTTGAGAGTATGACCCTGACTAGAAGCCAGGCCTTCCAGTGCCTGCACTGGTGTTCTCTGCATCCTCCAGCCTGTCCCCCACATCCCACCATCTCTCTTAGCACTCAGGCCTCTGGCAGCTCATCACTCCATTGTTCGAGGCCTCTTTCGACTTTCCAAGGTGAAGGAAGGGTAGCCCAGCCTAGGAAAGTCCCGGCACCCACCTCAGTTGGCATTTCCTTCCTGCCCACAGGCTAGCCCGTGGGCGTGCTTCGACCCCACAATTTCTGCAGGGCAGCGGAGGAACATAGGCACTGACTTGGAAGCTGGAGTGCCTGGGTTCATCTCAATCCACCCTATCCCCATTCCCCTACTGCCACTAGCTGTATGTCCTTGGACACATTATCTAATCTCTCTGAGCTTGTTTTGTCATTTACAAAGTGGGGATAATAATATCTGCCTGCCAGGATTAAATGGGATCATAAAAAGAAAGTGCCTGGTACAGAGAAGGCACTTAATAATTTGCCATTATTATTGTTATTAATACTATTGTTTGTGCATTATTACTTGCCTTACCAAGGAACTGCTCTGTCTCCCAAGGGTTACCATGACCACGGCTACTTCTGCTGCTTCCTAACAGGTGGGAACAGTGAGGTTGAGGGCCAGGAGATTGCCACACCCTTTCCCCTTATCTTCCCAATCCCACTCCCCACCCCCCATCTCCCCGCTCCTCAGCCATGCCTGGTGTTTCCCTAACTGTCCAGGCTCCTGCTCCTCCTCAGAGCAGAAAGCTAGCAAGGGGCTGGGCGTGGTGGCTCATACCTGTAATCCCAGCACTTTGGGAGGCTGAGGTGGGCAGACCTTGCAGAAAGCTAGCCAGGGGCTGGGTGTGGTGGCTCACACCTGTAATCACAGCACTTTGGGAAGCCGAGGTGGGCAGATCGCGTGAGGTCAGGAGTTCAAGACCAGCCTGGTCAACAATGGTGAAACCCTTCCTCTACTAAAAATACAAAACTTAGCCGGGCATGGTAGCACACGCCTGTGATCCCGGCTATGCAGGAGGCTGAGGCAGGAGAATCGCTTAAACCTGGGAGGCAGAGGTTGCAGTGAGCCAAGATCGCGCCACTGCACCCCAGCCTGGGCAACACAGCAAGACTCCGTCTCAGAAAAAAAAAAAAAAGGAAGGAAAGAGAGAGAAAGAAAGAAAGAAAGAAAGAAAGAAAGAAAGAAAGAAAGAAAGCCAGCCAAGGAGAAAGGTACACGGTGGTAGGAGAAACTACGGAGTGTGTTTGGCCAGAGATCTTTCTGACTGTGCCATGCCTCCTGTCTGCAGGTCCCGTTTCCACGCATTACCGTTAGGGGCTGGAGCATGGAGAGAGTGGGGGTGAGAACAGGACAGAAATAGAAGACACACGCCTGGCCACAGTGGGGACAGGACAAACACAATAAGTATTTTCAAAGCAAACATAAACAAGCACAGATGAATGTAGTGCAAATCACCACTATAAACAGCTTTCAGCTGGCTGCACAAACGGTGAATCTGTGAGTTGATTTTGTAATTAAAAAAATGTAGAAATGATTTCCCTGCAGTCAGCCAGCAGCAAGTGGAGACCAGACTCTAACTGAGACCACTGGGGGTCTAGGCCAAGCTCAGTGGAGACCCAGGACGGACACTCCCTCCTCCACTCCCTCTCCACCTTGGACACAGGGAACGGACAAGTGTCTGTAACAGGTCGGGTGCTGTCCACAACATTTCCTGTCACCAGAATCTCCACACTGCTCCAGGACGGCAGGCGGCATCATCCTGCACAGTCAAGGAAAAGGACGCTCAGAGAAGTTCAGAAATCTGGGCAGGACCCTACAAATATAAAATGACAGCACCAGGACTTGCACCCAGGTCTGTAGGGAGTATTTCTTCATGGAGTCATGCAACCCCCACTCCCCATGGAGCCTCTGCGACTCCTTCCATGTGAGCACAGCTAGCGGTGGCAGATGGGTACCAGGGTCTATGCAGGGTGCTCAGTTGTGGGCTCAGCTTCAGGGTCTCTTGCCCTCAGAACTATGGATAGAGCATTTAGCCCAAAGAGAGAACAGAATTTTAGCTCCAATCCTCTCAGTTCACAGTTTGGAGACTAAAATCCAGGCTGGAGAAGGGTCATGCTTACAGCTATCATCAGAGCTGGGCATAGAGCCCTGTTTCCTGACCCCTCCGCCAGCCTCTGGTCCTCAGAGAGCCACATGACAAATGTCTTTCGTGGCAGCACAAAGAGCAGTCAACCGCCCAGCTGATGCCACCGCCTCCCTGTCTGTCCACATTCTCTCATTGTGCAGAAACTGCCCATGCTACAGCAGCTCCCAGGTGGCTCCCAGAGACCTTCCCCTTAGCTGGAGCCAGCATCCCCAAGCTACTGCCACAAGTCACACCTTCACTTTCCCATTTGCTAGAGCCAGCCTCAACTGTGGCCTGGAGCCACAGCTCCAGTTCTCCTGGGCTGGTGGCCTCTCTGGCTGGGCCTGACATCCCATCCTCACCCTTCACAAAAGCAAGTTCCTTACTACCCCTGCTTCCTCCAGTGACACAGCAAAGATCCCTTAGTGAAGGGGCCATGTGGCTGCCAGGAATGTGGGGCAGGAGGCTGGCCTTCATGCTAGAGAGGTCTTAGACAAATTGTTTGCTGTTGCTGCTTCTGCTTCTCCCTCTTCATCATCATCATCACCATCATCATCATCATCACCATCATCATCATCATCACCATCATCATCATCATATCTCTCTCTCTGTCTCTCTCTCTCTCACTCTGTCTGTCTCTTTGCTGGCTCTGTGATCATGGAAGGAGCAGACACTTCCCTGGTGTACCTCAGTCCTCCCATCTGTATAGAGGAAGCAGTCCACAGAGGGAACTGAGGAGGCCAGCTCAGCAATGCAGAGTTCTCTAAGTCAATACTTCTCAAACTGTAATGTGCAGGGAATAACCTGGTTGATCTGGTGTAAATGCAGATTCTGAATCAGCAGGTCTGGGGCAGAGCCTGAGATTCTGCATTTCCAAAAAGCCCCCAAGGGACACTGATGCTGTGGATCAGATCCATTGTCCACATTTTGAGTAGCAAGGCTCTAAAGAACCTGGAGACCTGACATCTGGGAATAGCCATGAGATGTGTGGACCACAGTTTTAAGAAAAAGAACGTCTGCAGCTGGAAAAGACCTTGGGAATCTGGTGGTAAAATGTCAGAGCTGAGGGCCCAGGAGCTGTGGCCGCTTCCCTGAGGCTGGAGCAATGCTATGTCTTGCCCCATAGGAGCCAGCTAGAGAGCCTGGGTGGAGCCGGGTGCTGTAGCTGGCACCGTGAGGTAGAAGAAAGGGAAGTGGAGAAGGTGGATGGAAAGGGAGGAGAGAAGTGGAGAAGGGCTTGCCCCATGAGGAGGCCAGGGAACAGGGGACCACTGGTCCTCAGTTGTTGCCATTTCCTCCCCTGTCTGCCAGGAAGGCACCTTAGATCAATGGAAAACCGGTACCCCAGAGATTAAACATCAGAGCGGGAAACTGGCTCCTCCCTCATATCATCAGCCTGTCTTAGTTTGGGCTGCTATCATAAATTACTGTAGACTGGGGGCTTGAACAACACACATTTTTTAAAAACTTTTATTTTGCCTGGCGCAGTGGCTCATGCCTGTGATCCCAACACTTTGGAGGCCAAGGCAGGGGATCACTTGAGGTCAAAAGTCTGAGACCAGCCTGGCCAACATGGTGAAACCCTGTCTCTACTAAAAATACAAAAATTAGTGAGGCGTGGTGGCGCATGCCTGTAGTCCTAGCTATTCAGGGAGCTGGGGTGGGAGAATCACTTGAACCCAGGAGGCGGAGATTGCAGTGAGCCAAGAAAGCGCCACTGTACTCCAGCCTGGGCAACAGAGACAGACCCTGTCTCAATCAATCAATCAATAAATAAAAACTTTTATTTTAAGTTCAGGGATACACATTCAGGTTTGTTATATAGGTAAACCTGTGACATGGGGGGGTTTTTGTACAGATTATTTCATCACCGAGGTACTAAGCCTAGGACCTATTAGTTATTTTTCCTGATCCTCTCTCTCCTTCTACCCTCCACCCTCGAGTAGGCCCCAGTGTGTGTGGATCCAGTGGCTGTGAGAGCTGGCTTCCTGGCTTACAGATAGCCATCTTCTCACTGTGTCCTCACATCCTCACATGACAGAGAGAGAGAGAAAATGAGAGAGAGTGCTACCAGACACTCACCCTGCTGCAGGCTACAGTGTGGAATGCAGATAGTAGCACAAGACCTGTTTTCTTTGGGCCATGTGTGTATGCAAACTTTAAAAGGGGCATCAACAACCTGGGGGACTGTCAGAGGAGAGGAGCAGCAGGTCAAATGAGAGACACTTGGTAGAGCGGGCATGGACAGCATGAGTCCCAACTTCAAATATCTGCTGGGCTATTGTGAGGTGAAAGAACCAATCTTGCTCTGAGTGTGTCCAAGGGGTTGAACCAGCAGCAGTGGGTAAAGCTCATAGAAAGACTTGATTTAGTTCACTGTAAAGCAGAACTTGTTAAAATTGAAGCTGACCAAAGATGAATTGCACTGCCTCAAGAGGTAGTGAGCTTCCCATCACAGGAAGTATACAAGCAGACACTGGATGGACGTACTACAAAAGCCACTTGTATCAGCCAGGGTTCCACCACAGAAGCAGAACTGGTAGGAGATACATATTAAGAGATGTGTTGCAAGGAATTGGTGTATAGGCTGGTAGGGGCTGGCTTGGCAAATTTGAGATCCATACGGCAGGCCATCAATAAGGGCAGGCTGGGTCGGGCGTGGTGGCTCATGTCTGTAGTCCCAGCATTTTGGGAGTCAAAGGCGGGTGGATCACTTGAGGTTGGGAGTTCAAGACCAGCCTGGCCAACATGGTGAAACCCTGTTGCTACTAAAAATACAAAAATTAGCCGGGCATGGTAGGGGGCACCTGTAATCCCAGCTACTCAGGAGGCTGAGGCAGGAGAATTGCTTGAACCTGGGAGGCGGAGGTTGCAGTGAGCCAAGATTGCACCACTGCACTCCAACCTGGGTGACAGAGTGAGACTCTTGTCTCAAAACAAAAGAAGGGCAGGCCGGAGCTCTCTTCAGTATGTGCTAAAACTGCTGTCCACAGGCAGAATTTCTTCTTTGAGGGAGCTTCAGCAGTACTCTTATGGCTTTCAACTGATTGTATTAGGCCCACCCAGATTATCTAGAATAATCTCCCAAACTTAAAGACAACCCATTATGAACTTTAATCACATCTACAGAATGTCTTCACAGCAGTCCTAGATTGGTATTGGATTGAACAACTAGGGGCTTTAGCCTAGCCAAGATGACACATCAAAAAGGCCATCACACCACCCATATATCCCACTAAGGGTCACAATAAATGGCTTTTAAGATTCTTCCCAACCCTGAGATGCTTTGATTTATTTATCTTCAAAGGGGCAGCCTGGAGAGTTTGAGCACCCAGAGTGGGACTCAGGAGTGTCCTTGGGGCCCTGAGGCCCTCTGGGTCCCCTTCCAAATTGAATTGGCTTCAGCCTTCCTTTCAGTTCAGTTAACCAAAGATCATTTGAGATGTCCCGAAATCTCCTGTGTGCCAGGCACTATGTGAGGCATCAAGAGAATGAAAAACTAAGACCTAGAGCCTTCCCCAAGGAGCCTTGGGTCAGTGGAATCTGAAAAGCACAAGTTGCATGGTGCACATGCTAAATCCAAGTACAGTGACCCAAAGAAGGGTCTGAGAAGGTGTCCAGGGGTAGGTTTGAACAATGCGTGAGGACTTCAGGAGGTGAAGATCAGCAGCCAGAGCTTTCTGCGGTGAGCATGACACACGCCAGGGCATGAGCATGCCCAAGGAAATGTACTCGTGAGCAGATCCTGGAGGGCTCTGGACTCTGGTGTGTGGACTTGAGTGGACAAGCACTGGAAGACAGAGGATAGGCCCGATCTGTGTGCCCCTGCCTGAGTCCTGACCAGTGAATGCCCCAATGACCCCAGTTGAAGCAGTGGGTGCCCTGTGATTCCAGTTGAACCCAAGGGTAATGGTGACCTGAATCCTGATTGCCTGACTTCCCGCCCACCCTGCTCACCCAGCAGCCCTCTGTCAGCCCCCAGGGAGTTTTTGACTCCCCTATCCCATTTCCTTTTCTGGGCCAAAGTTCCACTCTGGAGCTCACACCAAGTACAGTTTTATTGACGGCTTGCAGGAGCACCGGGACGGTGCTAAGCTGAAGATGATGCTGCCATCCAACACTGAATGCACAGCTTCTGCATGGACAACCCCAGGCCCCTGCTCTCAGACCCCTTTTCTCTCCCACACACCCTCCCACAAATCCAAATTTCTGGATCCCAAGCGTACCCTCCTTGATTTCTGCTCCGGGCTCCGAGGCTTGGCATGGACTCAGTGTCCCTCATCAGGAATGCACAGGCCTCTCCTAACCACAACTCTGATTCAGAAATAACCATCTTGGAAACATCCTGAGAGTCACATTCCAGCCCTCCAGCCATAGGACCATCCGGGGCTTTCTCCAGGGAACTGAACTGTCAGGCCCCAGTGGGGCAGCCTGGAGAGATCTACACAGGCACTGAGACAGGGGCAGGCCCGCTCCTCCAGGATGAGGTCTAGTCCCCCTGCCCGTGCAGAGGAGATTCCCTGGGGCTTTGGGGGCAGGCACGGTACAGACAGTTCCAGGCAGGGCAAGCCTCCGATCAACGCAACAGATGGATCTGCCCTGGACTGTTCCACACAGATCTTACCCCCAACATGGAGCAGCCGCTCCTCAGGGAGCCTGCCTCTGTTACCACAGTCATGAACTAAGGTTGGCATTCATCAGGAGGTTACTCTGGACTGAGCCCTTTACAGGCATTACCTCATCCAATCCTCATGGCTGCCCTAGGAGGGAGGCACTATTTTCTTTCTTTCTTTTTTTTTTGGAGGCAGGGTCTCACTGTGTCTCCCAGGCTGGAGGGTAGCCATGATCATGGCTCACTGCAGCCTCGACTTCCCTGGCTCAAATGACCCTCCCACCTCAGCCTCCCAAGTAGCTGGAATCACAGGCATGTGCCACTACACCCAGCTAATTTTTAAATTTTAAGTAGAGACAGGGTCTTTCTATGTTGCCCAAGCTGGTCTCAAACTCCTGGGTGATCCTCCCATCTCGGCCTCCCAAAGTTCTGGAATTACAGGTGTGAGCCACTGCATGTGGCCTGGAGACAGTATTATTATCCCCATTTTACAGATGAGAACACTGAGGCTCAGGGGGGTCAGGGGATGTGTCCAAAGTCATGCAGCTGGCAAATGGCAGAACACGGATATGTTAAGCACTCGGTCATCGAGTGTCTCTGAGCCTCATATCAACCCCAAGGTGTAGGCATCATTATTCCTACTTTGCCAACAAAGAAATTGGACTTGAGAGATAAGGTCACTTCCTGCAATTGAGGGTCAGTGAACGTGGGAGCCAGAGTCCAGTCCAGACTTCCCAACCTTAACACCTAGCTTCTCCCCGACCCACCCCAACCACAAGTGCCCTTGCCCCCTTGACAGTGGCAGAAAATAGGTCATTCCCGTAGTAGGGATATTAGAGATGTCACAGAGGGTTGTGTTGGCCTATGAGGGGCAAAAAGGCAGCATTGGGGGCAGGGGCAGTTGTCACAGAATGGCCTTGGTTCCCGGCCTTTGTCCACACCATCCCACTGAACAGGATGGGAATCTGAGACCAGAATGGGGACAGAGTGACGGTTCTTAAGAGTGGCCACTGAGTGGAGAGGAGGCCTTGCTGAGGGTGACTTGGGCAACTCACCTGCTCCCTGGTATGGAGGTAGGGGGGTGGGGGGCAGGTCAGACGGCCCTTGTGTGCTGAGTAGGGAGGTTACCCCCGTAGCAGCAGTTGCTGGAACCAGAGTCATGGGTGTGAGGACCCTGCCCACGGGAGTTAATTCATTAGGGCTGAGGTAAGCCCAGGAGGCTTCAAGTCTGAAGGACCCCCCAGGCGATTGGAATCTGCAGCCTGGATCTGGGATGATGGAGAAGAGAGCTTGTTGGGATCTGTATTCCATACTTGGGAGGCTGGGCCACTCACCAGCTGCTAGAATTTTCTTTCTGGCTGTCCTTGGTGTCTCAGAAACATGCAAAGGTGGCTGAGGAAGATCTTTGCTCATCCTCGAGCCAAAGCTCCTGGGGTGAGCCAGGTGGCCAAGACATCAGGAGTCAGTGGGTGGCCCCCAGAGAAGGTCGTTTCCCCTCCCCCCCAGAGGAGGAGCTGGAGAGGGCCTCAGTAGGGGTCCTGGGGTCCTGGGGACAGGTCTGTCTTTCGCTTCATGGCTTTAGCTCTCACTGCCTGCTCTCAAACAACCCCAGGGAAGGTGGTCAGCCCAGGGGAGGCCCCCTCCACTGGGAACAAATCTGGGGTTGGGGCCAGGCTGAGCCAGGGTGCCCCCTTCTTCAGCATGACTCTGAGTCATGGATTTTCCAGCATGAGGGTCAGGCAAAGTAAGACCCTCCAGGGCTTCCTGGGGCTCTGGAGCAGGGGCTCCTCTTGTCCTTGGTCCACCTCCAGGAGGGGCCGGAGAGAGAAAACCTGGAACCAAACTCAGTGGGCAGCCCTCCTCTTGCATGCCGTGCCCAGCTAAGTGCCCTGGAGTCCCGAGCACTCATCTGCCTGGGCTCCAAAGAGGCCCTGCTGTCCCCTGCCTGCTTCCAGGGGGTGGGCCAGTGAACTCGTAGAGGCAGGCATCTCGTCCTTTCTTGCAGCTGTGACGGGCCAAGGAAAGAGGGGATCCAGCCTCCTCCACTGCTCCTCTGCTCCTCTGCTCCCACCTGGCTGTGAAACCTGGGGCGAGTCATACCTGCCCCTGGCCTTGTCTGTGAGGGACTGGGCTGGTGGCACCTAAAGCCCTTCCAGTTGGGGCCGTCTCTGTTGCACCTGCCCTGGCCTCCCCTCCAGCCCTCCCGAGAAGCATGCTACCCAGGATTACGCTTTTGTCCCCGCTTCACCCCATGCTGTCCGAGCCCTGAAGAGACTTCCTCTGTGTCTAGTCCCAAGAATAGAGTTCTGTCAAGGACCTCCAAGTCACCCCTTGCTGGAAAGAGAGCATTCTTGAGTGTGGCCGAGGTCCTGCTTATCAGCACAGCGAGTCCACTGCCCCAGCCCCTGGGGCTGCTGGAATGCAGGAGCCTCCCACCCGGACAGGGTCAGCTGCTCACGGCTCCCACAGTAGTCCCTGGAATGGAGTGCGGGAGGGAGCACTGGTGCTGAGGGCAGGCTGATCCCAGCCACTGCCTTCCGACAGGGAGTGGCCAGGAGCGAGGCTGCAGACACAGTTTTGTTGCACCCCAGCTGGCCCAGGATGTGTGTACTGGCAGCCAGTCCTGCCATCCAGGCCCTGGGCTTGCTCCAAGGCTGCCAGGGTACCGGGAGCTGTGTTCTGCTCATGCACCAGCCTTCAACATTTCACCTTGACCAGTGACCCACTGGATCTTCTCAGGGTCAGGGCTTAGCCCTGGGGGTCTCCACTGTGGTTTGATCACTCAGAATGTTTTGGGGCCTGGTGTGATTCCCTGCTACAGAGCCTACACAGTCATGTACTCAACCTTTGGCCAGGATGGGGTGAGTTCAGGGTGCTGCTGATGGTCCGCACCTGCAGAGTAGAGGCTCAGGCAGACAGCAGATAGCATTCTGGCAATTCCCAGAGTCCTGCAGATGCTTCAGATTCTTTGAGAACCACTGATGCAGCCCAACCCTTCTCTCTTCCAGATGAGGGGATGAGACCCAAGGCAGGGTGCAGGGGAGATGGGCAGTGGCGTGCCTCCACTACACAGCAGTCCAGTGACAAAGCAGTCCTCGAACTCAGGTCCCCGACTCTTTCCACTCCCCTCAGGCACCCACGCAGTCATTCCTCCACCCACTCGGCCTCTCTGAGCATCTTCCCTGTGTCAGGCCCCATTCTAGGCCCCAGGGACTCAGCAGGGAAAAAGAGCAGCCCCTGTTCTCATGGGGCCACTTTAGAGGAAGTAGAGAGTCAACAAACTAAATTATGTTGTAAAAAATAAACAACATCATCTCAATGGTAATAAGGGCCAGCAAGACAAGAAAGCCAGGGGATGAGAGTGAGAGGGAGAGCTGCCTTCCAGGAGGGGCCTGTAGAAGGCAGAGGTGGGAGAACAGATTTCTGGGCAGGGGAAGAGCAGATGCAAAGGCCTCAAGCAGGCCAGTGCCAGGTGGGTTGAGGAACAGGAGCAGTGTGGCTGTGGCATGCTGAGTGAAGTGAGGAGAAGAGGCAGAAATCTGTAAGGGCTGGACACTGCAGGGCCATGGAGACCATGGTCAAGAGTTTGGATTTTTGGCTGGGCGCGGTGGCTCACACCTGTAATCCCAGCACTTTGAAAGGCTGAGGCAGGAGGATCACCTGAGGTCAGGAGTTTGAGACCAGCCTGGCCAACATGGTGAAACCCTGTCTCTACTAAAAGAAATACAAAAAAATTAGCCAGGCGTTGTGGCATGTGCCTGTAATCCCAGCTACTCGGGAGGCTGAGGCATAAGAAGCTCTTGAACCTGGGAGGCGGAGGTTGCAGCGAGCCGAGATCGCGCTATTGTACTCCAGCCTGGACAACAAGAGCAAAAACTCCATCTCAAAAATAAAAAAATAAAAATAAAAGAGTTTGGATTTTTAAGACTGATAGAAGTCACTGGAAGGGTCTAAGTGGGTTGTGATGTGACATGACTTAAATTTTTACAAGAGCACTCTAGCTGCTCTGCAAAGATCGGATGGTGGCAGTGCAAACAAAAGCAGGGAGACTGCCAGGCCACAGGTCACCAGGCCACCCGCAGGTCAACCCCTCCAAAGAGAGGATGGTGGCGGACTGGACCAGCGTGGTGGTGGTGGAGACAGAGCTTGTGGGTGGATTGAGCTATGTTTGAGAGGCAGAGGAGACAGCACTGGCTGATGGGTACGATACATATGTTGGAGGAGAGGGCTGTAGGAGTTGGGGGAAGAGAACAATCGAGAATGGTCCTCAGTTTTTGACCTGAGCAACCAGGTGGAGGATGTGCATTTACTAGATGGAAAAGAACATCCAGAGAGTAGCAGGTTTGGTAGACTCAAGACTTCTGTTTCGGATACCCAGCCTAATTTTGAGATGCTCATTTCAAATCCATGAAGGCAGTTAGACAGATAAGTCTGCAGCTCGAGGGAGAAGTCAAAGCTGAGATATCAACTCAGGAGTTATCAGATAGAAATAATATTGAAAGTCATGCGCCAGATGAGATCAGCTGGGAAGGGGGTAGAGCTGGCAAGAAGAGCAGAGCGCCCAGCCCTTCCTCCAGTGCTGGGAGGTCAAGCAAGGAAGGGAGCCTGCCAGGAGATGGGAAGGAGGCCTGGGCACTGTGGTGGCCCAGAGGCCAGGGGGAGTGTTTCCAGAGAGGGAACAGTCAACCAAGCTGGCCACTGCTTAGAGGTCAAATAGGATGGAAACCACCAGTAGATCTGCAGCATGGCGGTCACCGGAGACATTGGCCATGAAAGCAGTGCAACATTCAACAGCTTGCTCCAGGAGCGAGGGAAGGGGAGGGTGGTGGGAGTCGGCCTGAGGTGGAACAGTGAGGCCAGATTCCAGGAGAGGCAGGGAAAGAGCAACTATACCACAGCTCGCCCTATTTTCAGGCCTTTCCGTAAATGCTTCACACCCTCCCCCTGCAGAGACCCATGAGGGAGTTAGCCTTATATCCCTCAAGCAAATGAGGCCTGAGGCCCAGCAAGGCGATGGGCGCAGGGCTACTGCCAGGAAGCCGAGTCCGGGCCTGTCTGACTCCAAAGCCCCCGCTCTTCCTCAGCAGTCCCTCACCCCAGCCCCACCAGCTCCGCCTGCCTTACCCTGCCGCCGCCTTCCACATTCCCTCCCACCTCATCCATCCTTGTCCTTTGATCATTTCTGTCAGCTTCCAGCCGTCTTGGCCTCTGCCTCCCTCCTCCAGGAAAGCTCTGCTTTTTCTCTTTGATCCTGCACGTCTGTCCTCTGCTGTGTCCTCAGCTGGGCCCCACGTCCCTCCCACCCTGTCCTTGCGAGATGTTCCCGCACCCTCTGCCAAGGGTGGGGGGCTGAAGAGTAACCAAGAGCTTTGCAGGGAACCTGGGCCTGCGAGACAGAAGTGTGGCCCCTGTCCCCCGACTGCTCTTTGGGAAAGAGCTTGGGGATCTTTGGGCCTAGCTGGGCTCAGCACAGGGGCCCAGAGATGAGATGCAAGCGCACAGTCCATCGATGCCTCCAGAGGCAGCCAGGAGCGAGCTGGCAGGGCCGTGCCTCCTTATCCTGATGGGTCAAGAAGGGCCTCGGTGCTTCTCGAGAAGGGTGCAGATGAAGAGCAGTGGGCCCAAGTCCTAAATAGGGAGTGGTAGCCAGCAACACCCACCGGTGCCTGCCACCACTCACACACAGGCTTCAGAGAAGAGGGGAGGGGCTTGGGAACTCAAAGACCCTTTTGGAGCCAGGTGACTCCAGTGGGAAGTCATGTGCAAGGCCCACAGACAGTGTAGGGGGGAAGAGGGAAGCCCTGGCAGGAGATGGGGGCCTGTCCAGCCTGGCTCCCCTTCCCTACCCTGGTCTCTGGGATAAAGGAGGCTGTCTGGGATGTCTGTAGCAGCCTCCAGCTCTGACCCTTGGGATTCTAAGGCCTTGGGATTCTGAGGCCCTGCTGCTCCCAGCTTCTCTGGGAGGGCCTGGCACCCGATTCTCAGCTGGAAGAGATGAATAGAGCAGACCCAACACCCAGACACCACGGAGGTCCAGCCGCTCTCCCGAAAGCCTGACAGGGGGCTGCAGTAGTAATTAGCTCCCCACATATCCCCGGGGTTATTTTTGTCTCATTCTCCCCTGGTTTATTTTTAAAGTAACACTGGCACGTGGCTGGCCGGCTGCCCTTCCCAGGTGCCTGTGCCAATTTGGGCCAGGAATGGAGCAGGGCAAAATGTGCCCCCTCCCTCACGGTCCCGCCCTGAGTGCCGGAGCTAACCAGCCCCTCACTGACTGGCTCCAGGGGGGTTCTTGCTGCACTGAAGCCCAGAGTCCAGCCTGTGGCAAGCAGGTGGGCTGGCAGCAGAAGACCCCTGGGAAATTACCACGTCTCTGTCATGAAGCTGATACACATGTTGCCTAACCTTGACCGAGTCACCTCACCTGTCCCAGCATCGCCTCCTCATTTCTCAGTGGGATGAATGAAAGTGACATTGCCTTACTCACCGTGAAAACGCTCTGAAGTGTGCAATAAACTGAACTGGTGCAGACATCAAGGAACAGCGTGATTAACTCCCATATAAACATGCTGCCCCGCACTCTCCCACTAAGTCCCCTCCAAGGCACATCTTTCTCCCTAGAGGAGTGACTCCCAGTCTGGAAGTCTCCACTCCAATTTCTCCCTTTCCCACCAGCCCTGAGACCTGCCCTCCACGTTTTCTGTTTGGCTGAACCCTAATCCAGGCTGCCTGGAGTGAAGGGAGGCAGTATAGGGGAGAGAGTATGAGGGAGAACCTAGCTCTGCATTTACTTGCTGTGTGATCTTGAGCAACTGCTTGACCTCTCTGTGGCTCCGTTACTGCATCTTCAAATGGGGATAATAATAATATATACCAATAGGGTCGTTTGAAGATTACACAACGTACATATATTAGCTCGCTTAGAGCAGTGCCTGGCACGTAGTAAGCGCTCTATAAATGTTAGCTAATATTGTTTTGAATTGGAGAGGAGGATCAGTGACAGAGGCATTTAATCATTCGAATAAAGTCAAGTGCAGAGAAAGCCAGCTTGCCCAGATTCCATATCGGGGCTGGGGGGAGGGAGCAGGGTAGCACTGTAAGCTGCAGCTGGGGGGAGCTGGGTCCTGGGGAGATTGCCTGGGTCCTCGGGAGGCTGCCCAGCTTGGAGCTCTTGGCACCATAAAAAGCAAGCTCAGGACACCAGTGCATAAACAGGCAGCCTCTATAGATCACAGGAGCCAGGAAGTCACTCTCCTCTTATACCCTGGCCTGGCTGATCTCTTGCCAATGTTGCACTGTGAACAGTGGGTGCAGAGAAGCTGGAGGGCTTCAGGATGGCCGAGGCCACTGGAAAGGCTGGAAAATCAGAGGTCAGAAGAGAGCAACAAGCCCAGGGCAAGTCAGGTCTCAGAAACAGGCTGAGGTGGGTACTGCCTCCCTGTCTCCGTGTAAAGGGCAGTGTCCCCGAGGATGGGGACAACTGTTTGCTGTCTCCACGGAGGACAGACTGAGTCAAGCAACCGAAGGCTTGTTCACTTCATTCTGCAGAAAGAGCATTTCCTATAGGGTGCAGGGTTGAGTGAGTATGTTTCTACGGAGAGTGGTGGATTCTTAGCCTCCTAGAAGAGTCTGTGTCCCCTTGGCTGGAGAGAAGGGAGGCTGAATTCAGTGGCTTCTTTAGATCCCTAAGGGCCTGGAGCTTGTGAGAACAGTGGAAGGAGTGGGAGGCCCAGAGGCCAGGTCCTGTGAGGTGCTGCCTCTCCCTTTGTGCAGATGTCCCCCTTCCCTGTGTCTGTCCACCCTATAACCTATCGGGATGGTGGGCAGAGGCGTGCCCAGAGGCCACAGTAGGGGAGAGGCTGGGTGTTGGAGTGTGTGTGTGTGTGTGTGTGTGTGTGTGTGTAGGAGTGCGCACACACATGTGAATGTTGGGGGTGGGGACCTCATGTCTGCAGGCTGGCTCGGAGGGAGAGAAGGTCCCCAGCAGCTGCCTCCAGGCTGAAGTCCCTGTTGCCTGGAGTCCCTCTCTTCCTGGGCACTATGCCAACCTACACCATCTGAGCTCCTGAGCCCTGGGGAGGGTGCTGAGCCTAAGAAAAGCCTCCTTTCACATCTCCTGGCATCTGCTTCCAAATTCCCTGCCAGCCCAGAGCTGTCTGGGCGATGACCAGAATGGAGAGTGAGGAGCAGAAGATGGAGATGGGGCCACACATGCCCCAAGCTCCCCCCACCACACCCAACCCATTCATCAAGACTAGCTTCATGGATCTGCTAGTTTTCCACTGTGGGCACTGGGCAAGGCAGGCCAGTAGGAGAGGGGCCATCTCCACGCAAAACCTAATACCTGGCAGATGGTGGTGAGGGCAGAAGATGCCATTCTCCGGGGAGACTGCGAAAGGAGGAGGCAGCCCTGGGGCTTTCATTGGAGGCCAGAAGAGATGAGGGAGGGAAGTCAGGGCAGCAGCGACTCCAGTGACTCTGCAGCAGTGGAAGTGCTCAGAGGCGAGGCATGGGACAGATGGGACCAGAAATGGTGAGGGAGTCAGGAGAGGCCAGGCCAGTAGGGCGGGATCAGGTGGTGGATGGAGAGTCCACTTACTGGCCAGGAAACCCCCAGACTGTATTGTGTGGACTGGGGGAACTAAGGAAGGTTTCTGAGTGGTGAATGGCAACACAGAGCTGGGCTTAGAAACATGTATGTGGGCCGGACACGGTGGCTCATGCCTGTAATCCCAGCACTTTGGGAAGCCGAGGCGGGCGGATCCCCTGAGGTCAGGAGTTCAAGACCAGCCTGGCCAACATGGTGAAACCCCATCTCTACTAAAAAATACAAAAAATTTGCTGGGTGTGTAATCCCAACTACTTGGGAGGCTGAGGCAGGAGAATTGCTTGAACCCAGGAGGCAGAGGTTGTAGTGAGCTGGAGGTTACAGTGAGCCAAAATCGTACCACCAGCCTGGGCGAAAAAGCGAGAATCCATCTCAAAAAAAAAAAAAAAGGGCTGGGTGCTGTGGCTCACACTTGTAATCCCAGCACTTTGGGAGGCCAAGATGGGTGGATCACATGAGGTCAGGAGTTCCTGACCAGCCTGGCCCACGTGGTGAAACCCTGTCTCTACTAAAAACACAAAAATTATCCAGGCGTGGTAGTGGGCACCTGTAATCCCAGCTACTCTGGAGGCTGAGGCAGGAGAATCGCTTGAATCCAAGAGGCAGAGGTTGCAGTGAGCCGAGATCGCGCCATTGCACTCCAGCCTGGGCAACAGTGCAAAACCTCTGTCTTGAAAAAAAAAAAAGAAAAGAAAAAGAAAGAAACATGTATGTGTTAATAAGAGCTCCTACTTTGTGAGACCCTCCACACGCCAGGCCTTGTACTGGACACTTTATTTTACATGCTGTCTTCTAACCGCAAGGTCACCCAGCCACCTAGCAAGAGATGGGCTCAGAGAGGCAGTGTGGGTGGAGGGGAAGCAGCAGGCCCAGAATCAAGAGGCTGGGGTCCCAGGTCCAACTCAGGAGCTGCAACTGCAGGCGACACACCCAATCTTTCCAGGCTTCGGTGTCCCCGACTGTTGAATGGACACCACCCCGCCCAGTGAGCCACAGGGATTCAACAGGAATGGCCCTGCACTGCTCACTATGTTGGGGACCCCTGGGACACAGTGCTTGGGGACTGTGCACTCTCAGGCCCAACTGCTGCTGGGGAGGGGTTGAGCAGGAAGGATCAGGAAGCAGAGCTGGAGAGAGCACCCGCCTGCCTGTCCTCCCCAGGCCATCATTTTCCAGAACAACCTTAAGAGGAGGGATGCAGGCAGGATGCAGTGGCTCAGGCCTGTAATCCCAGTACTTTGGGAGGCCAAGGTGGGCGGATCACTTGAGGTCAGGAGTTCGAGACCAGCCTGGCCAACATGGCGAAACCCTGTCTCTACTAAAAATACAAAAATTAGCCAGGAGTGGTGGCACACACCTGTAATTCCAGCTACTCAGGAGGATGAGGCAGGAGAATCACTTGAACCCAGGAGGCGGAGGTTGCAGTGAGCCGAGATCATGCCACTGCACTCCAGCCTGGGTGACAGAGTGAGACTCCATCTCAAAATAAATAAATAAATAAATAAATAAATAAGGAGGGATGCATCAAGGTCCCCTTAGATGGGCCATGGATCCTGATCCCTGGGCCCCAGCCCAGAGACCCTGGAGGCCACATACCTGTGTGGCCTTGTCCAAATCACCAACCACTCACTCAGCCCAGTCTCCTTAGCTGAAAAGCCAGGGCACCTGCCTTCTGGCATGCAGCATCCATTCAACTAACATTAGTTAGACTGGACAAGGTGACCGGCCTGAGCTTGTCCCCTGGCTCAGACATTCACTAGCTGTGTGGGCTTGAATGAGTCATGGAAACTTTCTGTGTCTCAGTTTCCTTATCTGCAAAGTGGACATAATACTCATCTAAAATGTTTGTGAAGACTAAATAAACGAATGCGCAGAAAGCACTTACTACAGTGTACAGCGTCTGGAATACAGGTGCTTAATAAATGTGAGTTTTATTATTACTACGGCTGCTTTTGTTGTTACTACCACCATTAGCTGCTGTGTGCCAGGCACTGAGCCACTAAGAAGTACAAGGCAGTACCCCTGCCCTCGATAGCCTCTGCGTACAGACTTACAGGACAAAATGACAGCCAAAATAAAAAGCAGCAGCAGCTAAATAAATGAAAGAAAGCAAAGGCCCAAGTCCCCAAGATCCTGGTCTCCTGCATGAGATGAGTGGCAGGGAGTAGAGGAGAAGCTGGGTACCAACACGATTCCCAAATGTTCTGGCTTGTCTTGGCATGGGAGACTCAGGCAGGGACACGTGGCCATCTCCTCCCTGACTCCATGTGCCCCTGAGGGCCGGGAGGGTGTAGGGGCCGGGTCGGGGATTTTCCACCTAGCTCTGCCTGCCCCTCCGCTTCAGCTGGGGAATGTTACAATCAGAGCTGGGCTGGCCAGGCCGGCCCCAGGTCCCTCACCCTCTCCACAGCATCTGATCAGTGCCCACCAGGACTGTCGGTCTGGCATACACCCAAATGCCCAGTGTTATTGCTTTGGGCCAGCTGACATTCCCAGTGGCCTTTGTCTGACTGAAACTATTGCTGTCTCCACTGTTTGTGAGGGAGAGAATGTGGCCCTCTGAAAGCCCACAATCCTAGAACGCTGAAGGGCCTCAAGAATGTCTTCTAAGTTCTTCATTTCCCAGAAGAAGCGCTCGAGGCCCAGAGAGGGGCAGCGTCTTGCCTGGGATCACACAGCAGCACAACTAGAACCACACCCCAGGTCTTCTGACTTCCATCTTGGTGTGAAGAGTCCCGGGGCAGCCAAGTGCAGCAGAAAAAAACTGCCTTTGAATTTCAAGTTTGATTCTACCATTTATGGCCTGAGATGAAACACTGTCTCTCTCTCTGAGCCTCAGGTTCCACATCTGTAAAATAGGAATAATAGCACCTCCTCTAAAGGACAGCAATGCAAGCTCAAACAATAGAATGTATAGAGATTGCTTTGTAATTGATAAAGTCCTGCACAAATGAAATACAAGGGATTATTATTCTAGAACTCAGAGCACAGCACATATTAAGGACTCAAAAACACCTGCTGGTTGGAGTGGAGAAATGTTTGAAGGATGATGAGTAATGAACAAAGGGCCCCTGGAGCACTGATTTGTTTAGGTGGGTGAGATCAGGGAAGGTTTCAGAGAGGGGGTGACTTTTGAAATGGGCTTTGATGGAGGAGTAGAAGCCCAACAGGCAGAACAAAGAGCACGAGCAGTGTCCAGAAATGTGGAAAGGGGCCCTCCCAAGAGCTGCTGACACCATGTCCGCAGCCAGGTTTAGGCACCAGATCCTGCTCAAAATGTACCCCTCTCCTCAGGGCCTCTGCATGGTACATGGAATAGGAGCAACTAGCGATTTACTCAATGCTAAAATACAACTTTTCAGGGAAGAAGAGACATAAGGGATCTTCTAATCTAACTTCTCTTTTGAAGGTAGGAAAAATTGAGATAAGAAAACTGACTCAGATAAGTCTCAGGGAGCTGGCGTGGCTTAACAAACACCCTGCAGTAGGCTTAGCAAACTAGGGACTATGGACTGAATCTGGCCCACCACTTGTTGCTGTCAATAAAGTTTTATTGGAACACTAAATTTGCCATGCCCATTGTCACGTAGTATCCATGGCTTCTTTCTTGGTTCTATGGCAGAGTCAAGTAGTTGCAAGAGACCACAGACTCATAAAGCCTAAAGTATTTACTATCTGGCCCTTTACAGGAAACAGTTTGCTGACCCCTGTCATACAGCAAGGTAATAGTAGAGCTAGGATGGTAGCCAGGCCTCCTGACTCCTAGTACTTTGTAATTCCTATGCACCATCACCCTCTGGGCCCCGCCCTGCCCCCATAACACTGCCCACTGGGTGAGATTTCAGGCAGCCAGACTCTGGGCCTACACCTAGGCTGGCCTCTGCTGCTCCTCAGACCCAACAGGGCTTCCAGTTGGGAGAAGTTCATTCCCTTTAGGAGATTGTGGCAAGGAGATACCAACACACCCCTGTTTCTCCTCAATGGGCTCAACAGGAAAGGCCTGGGAGTGTAAATGTGTAAGACTCGGGCCAGCCAGATGCCAGCGTCATGGACAGGGCCTTGAAAAAAGCATGTGGGGGAAAACTGGCACCTCAGCCATCCGCGAAGAGGGCCAAGTCCACTTTAAATTGTGCTGTGGAATTCCTTTCTCAATGCCAGGCTGTTCCTGGTGGATTCATTTAATTAAAACCCCACCAGATCCAATCTGTTAGAAGCTCTGAGCTCACAGATGCCCTGTCCAGCTGGTCATGAGGATGCAGACAGGCCACAGGCCTGGGCCATGGCACCTGGCTCAATGGCTAGCTTAGAACAGGCCCCACCGGCCCCAGGTCAGGGCCCTGCCCAGGACCCCCAGGATAACTGGCTGGTGGTGTGGCATTGCCTGCTTTAGCCCTCACGCTCTGCTTATCCTCTCCGTCTCCATTCTGTTCAAACCTCAGGCTCATCTCTGATGCCTCCCTCTCCCTCAGTCATTCATTCAACAGAAATTGATGAAGCAGCAGCTCTGTGCCAAGCCCCCTTCCAGGTGTGAGGGATCCAGTAGCAAACAAAAGAGATGAGAACCCCTGTCCTCATGGGGCTTACAGTTTCACCCATGAATGCAGGGCATCCCACACACCATGCATCCACTCTCCTCCCCTCGCCCCTTCCTGTCCTCTCCTTTCTCGGCCCCTCGCCCCTACCTCCTCCTCTCATCCCGAACTCTTGGATCCTCCGCTTCCCTCTAGCTCAGGCCTGAGCACTTGACAACTGGACCATGCAGAGGACCTCAGTGGATCCACCTGCCCCCATCTCCCACAGCCACGCCCCTGCCCAGGGTTGCCAGGCATTCAGCTCAATATCTCTCTGAGCACAGCCCTCCCCTGCTCAGGAGCCATCCATGGCTCCTCATTGCCTTAAAACGAAGACTTCATTCCTGAACCCACCCTTGAAAGCACCTCAAATTTTGGCCCCTTCTCACCTTGACGATCTTCACTTTTCAACTGTACTTCCTGTTCCAAGAACGCCAGAAGAACTTGTGCTGTTTTTAGGTTTATAATATTCATCGTTTTCTACTTACAAAAGTAATAGTTTTTTGTAGTGAAGAATTTATAAGAGGAAAATTAAAATTAATCACGAGCCCATTATTCAGAGATAAGCTATATGAGCTTTAGAATATTTCCTTACAGCTATATATGTGTGTGTACTCATACAAAATGTATATGTGAATACACTTTTTTTTTTGAAACAGGGTCTCCCTCTGTCACCCAGGCTGGAGTGTAGTGGTGCAATTACTGCTCACCACAGCCTCGACCTCCCGGGCTCAAGGGATCCTCCCACCTCAGACTCTTGAGTAGCTGGGACCACAAGCACAAGCCACCATGCCTAGCTAATTTTTCGTTTTTTTCTAGAGATGGGTCTCACTGTGTTGCCCAGGTTCGTCTCGGATTCCTGGGCTCAAGCGATCCTCCCACCTCAGCCTCCCCAAATGCTGGGTTTACAGGCATGAACGAGTGTGCCCAGCCACATTTTTCATATTTTCATATTAGCGTGGGATCCCACAATATAGAAAGCGTTGTCTCCTACTCTTTTAATTTAACATGATGTGGTAGTTTTCTATGTAATCAAGAGACTGTTCAAGAACTGCACTTTAATGGTCACACAATATTCCACCACATAAATATACCTTAATATGTTTAACCAAACTCTATTGGTGGATATTTGGACTGTTTACAATTTTTCACAATGAAAATGCTGCTATAAACATCCTTGTTCATAAATCTTTGTTCTGATCTCTGGTTATTTTCCGAGCAGAGATTCCTAGAAGTGCCACTGCAGGGCCACTGGGTAGACACATTTCTAAGCTTCTTGATTCGTATCATGCAGCTGCCTTTCTGAGAGAGTCCGCTGGCCCCCACACCAACCCCATTTGTGAGCACACCCACCAGTCCCACGCAGGTCTATTTTCTCTGACCTTAACACATCATGTGTCATCCTAACATTGTATCCTTGCCTCAGTAGCTCCCCTCATCAGAACCCTGCATTTCCTATCCACCCTTCAGAGCTCAGAGCAAATGTCACCTCCTCCATGAAGCCCTCCCTGATAACCCAACCAAAGTTCTCTATGTCCAGCCCTCCTTCGGCTTCTGTCTTAAATCCCTCCTAAAACATTTCCCACCTTTGCCATGCATTTTAATAATTTGTGTAATAATAACCTCTGCTTTATACAGGGCACTGAAGTTTTCAAAGTGCTTCCACTGAGAGGTTTCATTTGATTCAATCCCAGATGGAAAGTGTTTTGAGGTCAGGGACCTCATCAATAGATCATCTAGGTCTATTTCTCCTGGCTACATCACCAACTCAAGTCCAGCACAACCTCAAGCTAGCCCTTGTGTAACAGAAGTGTTTCACCAGCCCTTGTTACTCCTTGGCCTATCAGAACAGACTTCAAGATGCTCCCTTCTGCAGCATAGGGCAGTAAAAGATGACATGAGGGCCCTGGATTCCAGTCCTAGCTGTGTCACTGAGTTGCTGTGACCTTGGGCTAGTCCCTGCTCCTCTCTCAGCCTCAGTTTACCCATCTATAAAATGAGTGGGGGGAAGGGCACCGTGGCTCATGCCTGTAATCCCAGCACTTTGGGAGGCCGAGGCAGGTGGATCACTTGAGATCAGGAGTTTGAGACCAGCCTGGCCAATGTGGTGCAACCCCGTCTCTACTAAAAATTAGCCGGATGTGGTGGTTCACACCTGTAGTCACAGCTACTCGGGAGGCTGAGGCAGAAGAATCACTTGAACCCAGGAGGTGGAGGTTGCAGTGAGCTGAGGTCATGCCACTGCACTCTAGCCTGGGCAACACAGCGAGATTCCGTCTCAAAGAAACAAAACAAAACAAAACAAAAAACGAGTGGGTTGAACTACGTTGTCACACCAGGACTGATCGCTCCTAAGGTCCCTATCCCCAGGCACCCAGAGCAGCCCTGGGGTGCCTCTGAGGGCCTCTGCACAAAGCCGGCCTCTGGGATGGGCCAGAAGGAGCTGGCCAGGGAGGCAGGCCTGGCTCTAGGCCAGGCTGTGTCTGCAAACACTGACCTTGGCTGCCGCAGGGATTTTCCATGACACCAGCACCCTCCCTCTGAGCTCCCTGCATCACACATGGGCCTGAGGAGGGTGGGGGATGGGGGCTTTGGGGGTTTGTCCTACATCAGAGGCCCCAAGATCAGTACTAGGGCCACCTGTGGATGGGAGGCAGCTCAAGGCAAGAGAGGAGACAGCAGTGGGCCCAAGAGTGGGGAGTCCAGGAGGAAGCATGGGGCAGGGAGAGAAGCTGCTGGGGGTAGTGGGGGGAAGAGCTGGGAGAGGAGATGGGACAATGGGAAGAGAGGCCTCGGGAAGGGGCAGGGCAGAAGAAGCGGATAGGTGCTGTGCTTCAGAGCTGTCCTTCCCAGGAGCTCTGGCCTGAAGAGGGACAAACTCCAGATCCCATTCTGTACATTGGTCCCACCCCTACCCCAGCTCCATGAGACCCGGTGGTTCCCAGGCCTAGCTAGGGGCTTGCCCAGGCCCAGTGCAGGGGGGATTCCTTCTGAACCTTGAAGCTGACCTCATTTTGAAGGGGCCAGAGGCCACAGTGAAGGCAGGAGCTATGAGTCACCCGAGGCCCTCCTGCCAAGGGCCACCTCCCGTCCCCATCCTGGATGTCTAAGGGGTGGTTTCTCATCACCATCCCAGACCTCAGAGTCCTTCAGAACTGGAGCCTCTGGGTTCTGCAGCCCTCCCACCCCAGGCCTGTGCTGGAC
This sequence comes from Homo sapiens, assembly GCF_000001405.40. NCBI lineage: Eukaryota > Metazoa > Chordata > Mammalia > Primates > Hominidae > Homo > Homo sapiens. Next base: position 26,721,179 of record NC_000002.12, read on the forward strand.
ACTGAGGGGACAAGCCAGCCCTGCAGGACTCCTCTGTGGACATGAGTGCCCAAATACAGGGTGGGGGCCTGAGAGGGGCAGAGGGAGGAGAGGCCTCTTCAGTGCCCAGAGAAGGTTCCCAGAAGGTTCTCGGGAAAGGCAGTGTCTGAGCTGCATCTCACAGGAGGAGGGAGAGCACCTGCGCCCTCCTCCCGTCTCCACCAAGCTGCAGCCCCTCCCTCCTCTCCTCCCCCAAGACCTGGGCACAGAAGCTAGGCTCCTTCCGCCTCATCTCCTTTAACATGCCAATTAGGCTCCCTCAGAGCCTGCAGTCCCACTTCCTGGTTCCACACTGCTGCCATCCCCACAACTGAGGGGCGGCTCCATGTCTGTGCCTCAGGCGCCTGAGCTGGTTCCTCGTGGGCCCTCCCCTGGGTGCCCTCTGAGCCCAGCTGCCCTCTGCCATCCAGCAGGGGAGCCCAGCCTTCCTCTGAGGGCCCTCCCTGTGTCTTGCAGCCCCCAGAGCTGCCTCTGTCTCCCCCAAGCCCGCACTCCTCTCTGGCTGCCACACCAGGCCCAAGCCACACTGAGGTCACTTCGGCATCAGCCCAGAGTTCACGGCCTTTGGGCACCTCAGGCCACAGGTCCCTCATCCACCTTCCCTCAGGACAAACATTAGCCCAGCCATTGCCTATTTACATTAGATAACTAGGTCAGCCTGGAGACAGGCACAGCTGGCATTGCCAAGGGCTGTGGTTTCTAATCTACAGAAGGGCTGGGCCACCCAGAGAAGGAGATCAAAGAATCATATCGTCAGAGACCTGGGGGAAGGACCTCAGAGGTTCTTGATACTGCACAGGAGCGTTTCCCAAACTGTGCTCCCAGAAACACTTGCTCGGTAATGTGCACTATGAGAAAAGTGCTCCACGGTCAAGGAAGTGGGAAGACAGGCACCTTTTCCTGGCCTTGATCGACCTTGCACATGAACACATACATAGCCCTGAGAAAGCCTAGGCTCAAATCAAATGATGGTGAATCCTGTTAAATTCAGCATTTCCCCAATTTAATTGAGCCAAGCAACTCTTTTCTCATCCAACAGTTGTTAACATTCCATGGAACTGGTATTTCAGAAAAATAACTTGAGTAAACACTGATCATAGAATGTTGGCACTGAAAGGAACTTTAAAGATCATCAAATCTTGGTGCTCCCCAAAATATTCATATTAATAATTCATATTTATTGATCTCAATGTCCTAAGCATGTTAAGTCTATGAACTCAATCAAGTCCCCACACCAAGTCTATGAAGTGAGTACTTCATTATTCCCATTTTACAGACGAGAAAACTGAGGCACAGTGGATTAAGCAGTGTGGCCAAAGATAAAGTTGTTTGGCTTCAGAGCCTGTGATCTTCTCTACTCCACTAAACTGCAGAGATCCTCTCCCTGTGTTCAGTATTTCAAACATACAACAATAACTTAACTCCATCTCAAAGAGTCAATTATCTCAGGCTAATCAGACTTTCTGACTGGCAGATGTGTGCTTAATTAATTTTGATGGGGAAAGAAATTAATTATGGTTCTAACAATGATTTATTCAGTGCCTGCTCTAAAGAGTATCCACACTGCACTGATCACCACATCGAACTTCATAAATAAAATCTTCCAAAATTTTGCCTCTGTGAATGGGTGAGTGAACAGAGAAAATAATAAAAGGCAGTGGGAAAAGCTGGGAACCTCATCTCTTGCCCTATCTTCCATGTCACAGATGAGGAAACCTGAGGCCCAGAAGGAACTTGCCAAGACACAAAGCTGTCTTTGATCAGGGTCAGGTCAGACCCCAGATCTCCTGCCTCCTAGCCCCATGCTCTTTCCTCTGCCCAAGGCTGTGGCCAGCATCCTGGCCTTGTGGCCAGCTAGGCCAAGGGTAGGAGGTCAAGCAAGCAGACTAGCAGGCATAGGAGGCCAGTGGGAAACAAGCAGCCAAGCCCAGTCCAGCCAAGGCCATGACCAAGGGCTCAGAGTGGCTAGTTGTGCTTTGAATAGAAGGAAATAAGCCACAGGGAGAGAAAGACCAGTAAAAGGGAGGACCAGACCCAATCCCACTCCCACACCACCATCCCCACCCCGCATCTCCCTGGAAGACAGCTTCAGCCAGTTTCTGACCTCCTTGGTGATTCTGGGAGGAAAACAGAGGAACTGAGGTGGCCCAGGGTTTGCCTCTGATCTCTTGGTTTTCCTGCTGCCCTAAAATATTTACACTAACAATTAATTTTTATGTCCAGCCACCTGGCTTCCTTAGGTGGATTCTGTGCCTCCAGCCAGGGTCCCAGGCCACCTCTTAGCTGAGTTGCTCCCAAGTAGGAGCTGCTGGGCCATGATTGAATGAAGAGGCCCTGGTCATACCTGAGCTGGAGGGCAGTGGACAGAGCATTGGTTTTAGAACCAAGTATCCTGGGTTATAATCCTGGTTCTGGCATTCACAAGCTGTGTGACCTTGAACAGATTGCTTTCCCTCTCTGGGCCTCCATTTCCTCATCTGTACGATGTAAAGACTGAACCAAATGATGGCTAAGGGTATTTCTGGATCTGAGAACCTTAAAACCTATGTTGGATTCAGGGAGAGGAGGCTGGGAGAGGAGGCGGTATGGATAGTCCTGGTAGTTTTCTGAGAGGCAGTGGCCAGAGTCTCCCGGTCAGAACATCTGCTCTGGTTGATCAGCCCAGCAGGTACTGCGAGAGAGGGTCCTCAGAGAGTCAGCCACACAGAAGGACAGATGCAGCCCCTCACCCAGAGACTCGAAGGCCTGGACAGAGGAGAGAAGATAGAGAACACCTTTTGCCCCCTGCCTCATAAAGCCAAGCGCGACATGGGCAAGGACCAGGCAGGCAGCGGGCCTGCTGGCAGGCAGACGGGTCTTGCCAAACTCCCACTTACTTCCCAGAAGCTCCAGGGCCCCCTGGGAGTGGCTCCACCCAGCTGGCACCCCTCCAAGTTGGGCGCCCACGTCAGCAGGTCCTCACACTCCCTTGCCCTTTCACCCAGTGACAATGGGACAGGCAATGGGGTGGGGGGCACCCTAAGCCGGATACTTGGAGAAGCGTCTGACTGCCTGAGCATGGCCCTCCTGTTACCACCTCTGCTGCAACTGGCTCAGAGCAACGCCTGAGGCTGATGCCCAAGTGAAATGCTCTCCTCCCAAGGCCTCCCGGCCTGGTCGCCCTTCCTGGGTGATGCATTGGCTCCCACGTACCGGAATGAATGCTGAGTCAGAAAGGCCCAGTGGCCTTGGCCAACACCCAAGGCCTCTCTGGACTTCATGACACCAACTGTAATATGAAGATAATCATAATAGTGACCTTGTAAGAAGTTTTTGAGGATTAAGTTAAAAATACATCTGAAGGGTAAGAACTTATTATTCTTAAGCCTCAGCCTGCGGTAGGAAGTGAGATTGAGCCCTGGGGGCATGTGACCCCAAAGAGGAGGCACATCTAGGCCAGGGCTGCCTGGACAGGGCAGTGGCTGTGGTGGAGCATGAGGTGCTGCCTGGGATAAGAGCCTCTGGTTAAGCCTGGATGTGTCATTTGCTTTGAAAGTCACTAAGTTCAACAGGATGAAGGGCAGAGGAAGGGGTTGTCACTTGCAGCTGAAGCTGGGTCCTGAGGAGCTAGGTCTTTGTGGGCTGGGGTAGGAGAGGCGAAGGAGGGCCACGAGGCAGTGTGGGAAGCACTGTGGAGAGGAGGGGCCGGCTTGGCTGGGTGTGGGCTAAGGACGGGTCTCTGGGGTGGCCGCAGGGTATAGCAAAAGAAGGGCAAGGAAGGGATGTGTGGCTCCTTGAAGCTGGGCGCTTTGTGAGCACAGTCACAGTGGGCAGTGAGGCTGCCAGACAGGGGGCACTGGCTTTTCCTAAGAGACGGTGGGCCCAGGGAAGTCACGGCCTATGACAAACACAGGACAAGGGAGCAGTGGTGGCAGAGAGGGGGTGAGGGCCCCTGATGGTGGTATGTGTCTGCCTGACCCCACAGAGATGGCCCTGCCCCCAGGCCCATGCTCTCAGGTCACCCTTCCCCTGTGAGATCCCACGACCACTGCTTCCATCTCGCAAGCTACAGCTTCCAAAGAGCTCTAACGCCCAGTCTCTCCTGTGCTCCTGCAGAGGGCTCTGGCGGGCAGCGAGGGTGGGGGTTAATAGCTCTAGCTCAATCTTCCAGAGTGTAGGAAAGACAAGTGAGCCCAGAGAGGGGTAGGGATTTGTCCAAGGTCACACAGCTATCACGTGGCCAAGCTGGGGCTATGTCCATGCTCCCTACTTCCTGTTGAGCCCCATCCATGGTGCCATGCCCTCCCCTCTCCACCAAGTAGTGCCGGCCTGGAGGACAGGGAAGGACGGGATGAGAAGCAGCTCTGGCTCAGGGCCTGCCCAGTTGTCGAGGTGAGTTGTGGTCTGGCTGCCATGGCCCAGCTGGCGGGCACAATCTGTTCTCACCCTACTGGAGCACAGACGTCCTAAGCACAGTGGCTCTACAGCTCAGCTGTCCAGGTCCCTAGCAAATGGTGACACAGTTACTGGCCCGACGCTGTGGAGGGGGTCAGGGGAGCTGGTTCTAAGGGCAGCCCCAAGCAGCTGTCCCCAGAGCTCCTTGAGCTTTAAGATCCAAATGGCCCTGGGTTGACAGAGGTGCCAGCTTTACTGGAACTGAGCTGCCCTCAAGCCTGGCTGCTCTCTTGGAAACATGACAGTAATCTGGCACTTCACTCATTATTAATCACAGTGAGCCATTATTGAGCACTTGATAGGTACCAGGCTCTGGGCTAAGTGCATTACACACATGATCTTACTTATTCCTCCCCAAAGTCCTGTGAGGCAAGTGTATTATTAACCCCATTTTATAGATGTGGAAACTAAGGCTCAGAGAAATCATGCATACACACACACACACACACACACACAGAGAGAGAGAGAGAGAGAGAGAGAGAGAGAGAGAGACAGTAAGTCCAGGACAGAGTCACACAGTATCCTGCCTTGCAATTTAGTTATCAAACATATTCTGGGCCTCCATAGGTATGGCTGGCAATGTGGAGGTAGAAGCTAGAGAGGAAAGTGACAAGACCCATCAGTGCCACCCCTTCCCCCCAAAGCTAGTGTTTAGCTCTATGTAGTTGGGGATCCTAGAGGACAGGGGGTGGTGGTAATATTGGCCCTGGAATTACAAGCTGAACATTTTCAGTGCCACTCAAATAAGGCAGAGATCATAAGCTGTGAGGAATCCAGGAGGACTGCATGGAAGAAGAAACATTTGGTTAAGATTTGATAAGGCTTAGAATGGAAGAAAATGCCAGCGTCATTTTATTATCATAATTATGTTAATAAAAGTAGTAAATATATCAACAATAAAAGAAGCAGGCCAGCACCAGTAAACACACTTTACAAATGAAGAAACATGTTCAGAGAGTGGGAGTAATTTGCCCAAGGTCACACAGCCACTAGGGCCCTGTCACTAGGGATGAGTTCCCATCCAGGGTCATTTTCCCTCCAGTTAGCCGGAAGAATTCTCAACTTAGGCTTTGGAATGGCTGGTGCAGAGGGAACATTTGCCTCTGCCCTGATCTTGGCTCAGGGTGGGCCAGGGTGGGGGCGGGGTACAGAGAGATTATCTGGCTGATGATAGTAACACACCTGGAAAGACACCGAGGGCTCCTGCTTTGCCAAGGGTAACACCACCTCCCCATGAGGACAGATCCTACATCAGGTCAAGTACAGAGGAAGACCCCAAGGCCTCCAGTTGGAGGCTGATGGGGACCCTGGAACACTCATTCATCCTGCTCTTGCAGGGAGGGGCAGGCAGTCTCCTTTCTTCTGTGGCACAGTGGGCCAGCTGCCCCAGGGAGACTGAAGGGCCCTTGTTGCCAAGCAACCCCACATAAGCTTTGGCTGGCAGCGGGGAATCCACCAAGAAGCCAGCCCTGCCTCAGTCTCCCTTCCTGTACACTGGATCACAGGATGTCAGAAACCATTCAGGGCAACCACCTCACCTTGTAGTCAAGGAAACTGAGGCATGGAGAGGACAAGGACCACGCCCGCAGCCCAGGACACTGAACTAGAATCCAGCTCTCCCAGCTGACCTGTGCCCTCACACTCTCCCTGTGCCTCTAGACAAGTTCTCAGCAGCACCCAGGCCACCCCTTCTCTAGGCATACAAAACAGTCCCGTCATTGAGGTCAAACGGACTCGAGTTCAAACACGGTTGTTCTGCTCCCAAGCCGTGTGACCTTGGAAGTCATCCCTCCTTATTTCTTCCTTCCTACATACCTTCTGCAGGTGTCACAAGAGTACAATAGAAAGCATGAGCCAGGGCCTAGCACAGTGCGTGGGGATAAGGAGCGCCCATCACTGTGGACCCAGACCCACAAGGTGGGGGAGGTGGCGGGGCAACGGGGAGGGAGAAGAAGGTTTCTGGAAGGGCAGCCCCAAAATGTGTGCTTTTTCTCCTCTTTCCCACTTTCCCCCAGGCTACGGGCACGCGGCACCCAGCACGGATGGCGGCAAGGTGTTCTGCATGTTCTACGCGCTGCTGGGCATCCCGCTCACGCTCGTCATGTTCCAGAGCCTGGGCGAGCGCATCAACACCTTGGTGAGGTACCTGCTGCACCGCGCCAAGAAGGGGCTGGGCATGCGGCGCGCCGACGTGTCCATGGCCAACATGGTGCTCATCGGCTTCTTCTCGTGCATCAGCACGCTGTGCATCGGCGCCGCCGCCTTCTCCCACTACGAGCACTGGACCTTCTTCCAGGCCTACTACTACTGCTTCATCACCCTCACCACCATCGGCTTCGGCGACTACGTGGCGCTGCAGAAGGACCAGGCCCTGCAGACGCAGCCGCAGTACGTGGCCTTCAGCTTCGTCTACATCCTTACGGGCCTCACGGTCATCGGCGCCTTCCTCAACCTCGTGGTGCTGCGCTTCATGACCATGAACGCCGAGGACGAGAAGCGCGACGCCGAGCACCGCGCGCTGCTCACGCGCAACGGGCAGGCGGGCGGCGGCGGAGGGGGTGGCAGCGCGCACACTACGGACACCGCCTCATCCACGGCGGCAGCGGGCGGCGGCGGCTTCCGCAACGTCTACGCGGAGGTGCTGCACTTCCAGTCCATGTGCTCGTGCCTGTGGTACAAGAGCCGCGAGAAGCTGCAGTACTCCATCCCCATGATCATCCCGCGGGACCTCTCCACGTCCGACACGTGCGTGGAGCAGAGCCACTCGTCGCCGGGAGGGGGCGGCCGCTACAGCGACACGCCCTCGCGACGCTGCCTGTGCAGCGGGGCGCCACGCTCCGCCATCAGCTCGGTGTCCACGGGTCTGCACAGCCTGTCCACCTTCCGCGGCCTCATGAAGCGCAGGAGCTCCGTGTGACTGCCCCGAGGGGCCTGGAGCACCTGGGGGCGCGGGCGGGGGACCCCTGCTGGGAGGCCAGGAGACTGCCCCTGCTGCCTTCTGCCCAGTGGGACCCCGCACAACATCCCTCACCACTCTCCCCCAGCACCCCCATCTCCGACTGTGCCTGCTTGCACCAGCCGGCAGGAGGCCGGGCTCTGAGGACCCCTGGGGCCCCCATCGGAGCCCTGCAAATTCCGAGAAATGTGAAACTTGGTGGGGTCAGGGAGGAAAGGCAGAAGCTGGGAGCCTCCCTTCCCTTTGAAAATCTAAGAAGCTCCCAGTCCTCAGAGACCCTGCTGGTACCCAGACCCCCACCTTCGGAGGGGACTTCATGTTCCGTGTACGTTTGCATCTCTATTTATACCTCTGTCCTGCTAGGTCTCCCACCTTCCCTTGGTTCCAAAAGCCAGGGTGTCTATGTCCAAGTCACCCCTACTCAGCCCCACTCCCCTTCCTCATCCCCAGCTGTGTCTCCCAACCTCCCTTCGTGTTGTTTTGCATGGCTTTGCAGTTATGGAGAAAGTGGAAACCCAGCAGTCCCTAAAGCTGGTCCCCAGAAAGCAGGACAGAAAGAAGGAGGGACAGGCAGGCAGCAGGAGGGGCGAGCTGGGAGGCAGGAGGCAGCGGCCTGTCAGTCTGCAGAATGGTCGCACTGGAGGTTCAAGCTAACTGGCCTCCAGCCACATTCTCATAGCAGGTAGGACTTCAGCCTTCCAGACACTGCCCTTAGAATCTGGAACAGAAGACTTCAGACTCACCATAATTGCTGATAATTACCCACTCTTAAATTTGTCGAGTGATTTTTAGCCTCTGAAAACTCTATGCTGGCCACTGATTCCTTTGAGTCTCACAAAACCCTACTTAGGTCATCAGGGCAGGAGTTCTCACTCCCATTTTACAGATGAGAATACTGAGGCCTGGACAGGTGAAGTGACCAGAGAGCAAAAGGCAAAGGGGTGGGGGCTGGGTGCAGTGGCTCACACCTGTATTCCCAACACTTTTGGAGGCTGAGGTTGGAGGATTGCTTGAGCCCAGGAATTTGAGACCAGCCTAGGTGACATAGTGAGACCCCATCTCTACAAAAAATAAAAAATTAACCAGGTGTGGTGGCACGTGCCTGGGAGTCCCAGCGACTTGGGAGGCTGAGGTGGGAGGATTGTTTGAGCCTGGGAGGTCGAGGCTGTAGTGAGCCCTGATTGCACCACTGTACTCCAGCCTGGGTGACAGGGCAAGACCCTGTCTCAAAAAAAAAAAAAAAAATGGCAAAGGGAGACAAGAGCCCAGCCTGCTTGTTGCTAGCCAAAGTGTTCTTTCCTTCCAGCTTGGCCTGCTCTTAAAAGCAAAGCTCCTGCAGTGTACATCCTGGCATTGTGTGGCTACCTGGGTTTTAAACCAGAATCAGAAGTCCCGGATCAGAGGGCACTGCTGAGGTTCAGCCTCTTCTCTTCTTGGCCAGGAGGCAGCAGCTCTGAATGGGCCCCTGAGGCTGCACAGGGGCCTTTGTCACTGGGGCGCATGCTTACAAACAGTGCAGTTCTTGGGACCGAGGTAAGCAGGGCTGGGTCTCATGGCAGAAAGGCCAGGATCTGGGGCTCTAGGAATTTGGGAATTGGGCAGAGTGGCCAAGAAAGCTGGCAGGCATATCCTATGGGACATCACACCTGGCACCATTGTCATTGTTGGTGCCTGTGTCCCAAGTAGCTAGTGATAAGCTGAGGCTGCAGCAAGAAACACCCTTCCCAGGTGGGGGAGTTTGGACCAGAGGTGCCCTCTGCCCACCACACCTGCAACCCAGAAGCCCAGATGGAACGCAGCTGACGAAGGTGATGCTTGAGGCTCACTTTTGGGGCCCCACAGCTGGAGCCGGTATAATGACTGGGACAACATCAAGGGGTGGATGAGGGGCCTCTCCTCCCGCAACACTGCCTTCCCATGCTGTTCCCCTGCCAGCTCCTTAACACTGCCGACCAAGGCCAGCCCTGGCATTCAGGGAAATTGGAGGGCAGCACCCGTAGGGTGGCCAGCCTCAGGCCCCACCCCAGCTGTGTCCTCTAGTCTCTGGGGACCCCTGGGGGGAAGAAGTCTACCCTGCTTGTGAGTCCCGTCTCAGTGTGGAGGAACTGGCTGCACGTGGGACCTGAAGGTGCCCTCTGTGTTTATGTTGGGGGTGGGGGGGCAGTGCTGGCTGCCTCTGTCCTGTGTGTGACCCTGCCCTCGAAGGGTCCTGTCCTGTCAGTCCCGAGGGAGCCACAACCAAAGCTGCGGAGAGAAGGTGGGGAAGGGTGCAGAATGGCCGTGGGGCACAGCGTGGCAGACTGTTCAGTCTCTGCTGGGTCTTTCCTAGGGACCTGGAAGGCCAGTGTTGCTTCCCCCTCACTCCCTTTCACTGCAGGCAGCCTCTCTGCTTCCCCAATGCCTTATGCCTGGGCACACTGCCACAGAATATGCAATATGTGTGGGTGACCATGCCCTCACGACCACACCCCCACCCCGGGCAGCCCCCGGACTCCAAAGGTCGTGGCTGCCACAGCCTCCCTCAGCTCTTCCTGCCTATCTGTCTTCACACTGAGAATGGCGCCCAATAAATGCTATCCACGGAGACCAGGCTCAGGCTCCAGCTGCCTCTGTCATCGTATGCCCTTGCTGCTGCCAGGGAGGGGCCATCTCCCACCCCCTCCCCTGCCGGGGTCTACAAACATATCTAGCTGCTGGGTGCCGTGGCTCACACCTATAGTCACAGCACTAGGCGGGCAGATCACCTGAGGTCAGAAGTTCAAGACCAGCCTGGCCAACATGGTAAAACCCCGTCTCTACTAAAAATACAAAAATTAGCTGAGCGTGGTGGCGCATGTCTGTAGTCCCAGCTACTCGGCTACTCAGGAGGCTGACGCACGAGAATCGCTTGAACCCGGGAGGCGGAGGTTGCAGTGAGCTGAGATCGTGCCACTGCACTCCAGCCTGAGCGACAGAGTGAGACCCTGTCTAAAAAAAAACAATAATAATAAAATAAAATAACATACCTAGCTGACTCGCCATGGGCTCGCTGGCCTGTGGGCGACACTGGCTTCCCTTTTGGGATTTCCCAGAAGATCCAGATTTTCTTAAGTCCCCTTGGAACAGACTAAGAAAGGATCACCTTAGAAATCACCTGGTCCTATTGTCCCCCCCGTACATGAGTAACTGAGGCCCACAGAGAGCAAATCGCCTGCCTGAGTCACACAGCAGTGAGTGGCAGACCTAGGCTAGGAACTAGGACTGGGGATTGCTATTCCAGTGCTCCCCATCCTCACACAGACTGCACAGTCCGCCTGGACACACCCCAGCTGACAGTGGTACCTCCCAGTCAGCCAGGAGAATGGATTCCTTCTCCTGCAGTAGGGGCCCCCTGGCTGAGTGGCCTGATTGACTAAAACATATGTCTTTGAAGGAGAGTGCATCACAAGCACCTTTCTTTGGGGTAGATTTTTCTCTGGGTCTAGAGGGACAGCTCAGGCTTGGGACTGGGCCTCAGAACCTACGACAGACCGTGAGAGCAGACCCACCTTATCCATCTGGTGCCAGCTCCCCAGGTCAGCTACAGCGACCCCCGGACTTCATAGAGTACAATCCACAGTAATAGCACACAGCTCTGTACCTATCTAGCTCCATGCCTATCTATCTGCCTACCTTTCACAAAATAATTCTTAGCAACCCTGCTACAGCCAATGATTCTAATACGTTCTGTTCTATTGCATGTTATAAAATGCTGGTCACGATCCACTAAATTGATGTCTCTACCTGCTAATGGTTTAATACCTGCAGATTGAAATATACTGGAGAAATAAAGAGAGTGGGAGTAGGGACACTTTCTCCCAGTGCCCACACCGCCCCTCGTTACCCGCATAGGTCAACTGAAAGATACAGAGAGGGAAGCTTTGATGGGGGGTTCAGAGTTCAAAGGAAGAAATGATGGCACCTGCACTCCCTGCCCCCAGAGGCAGGACACAGCCAGCCCTCCTGTGACAGCACTCCTGGCAGCTCCTTGTTGGCCTGCAGCCCTCAGGGGGCTTAGTTGCCATTGACTCACCCACTCCTAAGGCCACCACATCAAAATCTGAGGCTTACTGCCCTGTCCCACCTGCCTCTGTCTTTCTTAAAACAGCTAAATGCAACAATAGCAGAAATTAGCTTGTTTTTGAGGTTGGCAATGACCAGTTCAAGGTGACTCTTATTTTCTTAAGCAGTGCTTGCAGGACATAAATGTGATGACACTTGCCCTCCTTTCTTTATCGCCTGGGACAGACTTTACAAACAGACCTGGGAGAAGTCCCCTAAGGGGCTGCATTTATCCCCATCTCCCTAGGGGTGATCAGCATTGTGACAGCTGGGCAGAGCAGTGGTGAACTGCACCCATGTCCCTGCTCACATCTCCTAAGATCTCAGAATTGCCTGAGGTTCTAGCGTGGGCTCCTTCTCTCCAGATGATGCCATCCCCACCCCCCTCATTTCCACACAGCATCTGAGGCATCCTGCACTAAAAGATATATGTACAGCAAAACAAAAATAGAAAACCAGCACAGCAGAGTGGAGGTGGGGTATAAATATACCCAGATCCCCGCTGATTTGGTTACTCGGGGTGAGCATCAGATGGAAATAGAAGTTTCCGGGGGCCAAGAGAGAAAGAGGGATGTAACGACAATTCTTTTCAAAACGTGTCCCATGGTATGCCTCGTGGAAAAAATGGTTCGTTGGTCAAATGAATTTGGGAAAATGCTGTCAATATCACCGACTCATGGAGCTTCGCAAGGCATCTTAGCTTAATAAAGGTTATGAAAAGTCTTGCAGCAAAGATGCTGTTTACCCCTGCTTAATCCAGCACTGCCCAAACTCATTCCAAATACCAGAGCCTCTGTTTGCACGACATCTCTCCGAGCCCTGTATGTCACAGCACATGCTTTGGGAAATGCTGATCCATCGAAATCTCACTGATGAAGAGAGAAGGCTGATCCTTCCTCCTCACCCCACACTAAATTATAAAAGAAGTTTAGCTTGCAAGTCCTTCTATAAGTGAAGACTACAACAATATAAAATACATATGTTATTCTCAATTGCGTGCCAGATTCGACCAAGGCTCAAAGCAGCCCGCTTGCTCAATATCAGGCAGTGAATTGATGGCAAAGCGGGGATTTGAACACAGGCCGATGGCTGCGAGGCATATGCTCTTACCCACCTGCTGTGTACTGTCCCATGATGATCCACATCTTCAGCAAAGGTGTGGCAGAAGTTCAGAGCTATTTATGATGTGGTCATTTCTTATTCAGAACCTCGGTGAGAGAGGAGGCTGTAATCTAAAGATGTCATCCTTCAAAGATGACAGATTCCATTGGAGCTAAGAAATCCTATTCTGGCCGGGTGCGATGGCTCACCCCTACAATCCCAGCACTTTGGGAGGTAGAGGTGGGCAGATCACCTGAGGTCAGGAGTTTGAGACCAGCCTGGCCAACATGGAGAAACCCTGTCTCTACCAAAAATACAAAAATTAGCTGGGTGTGGTGGCGTGCACCTGTAATCCCAGTTACTCAGGAGGCTGAGGCAGGAGAATCACTTGAACCTGGGAGGCGAAGGTTGCAGTGAGCCGAAATCATGCCACTGCACTCCAGCCTGGGCGACAGAGTGAGACTCTGTCTCAAAAAAAAAAAAAAAAAAAAGAAAGAAAGAAAGAAAAGAAATCCTATTTTACCTCAGGCCCTCACATTCCCACATTTAGCTCTTTCTGCAGGCTCAGCATTTCCCCCTACCCCCAAGCCCAGTAGCCTTCCCATAACTTATCTCAGGAAGCTAGAGGCAAGAGAGGGTTGTCCAGGGCCAGGGAAGGATGTGTTTAGGACAGACAAGTTGGCAGAAGAAAGAGGCACTGCCGACAGTGACCAAGCCAAGCTCCCTCCCTTGCAGCTCACATCACCATTTCCATTGAGCAGCACAAAGCTGTGGCCCCCTCTCAATCCCAAAGCTGGATTCAGGTAAGAAGTTGGAATGACTCTGTTTCTCAGGTAACCCCTGAAAAGTTCAATCTGTCGTGGACTCAGTACCTTCCTCTTGCCCAGTGAGGAAGGAGCCTTGATGCTGGAACAACAGCATCTTTTATTATTATTATTATTATTATTATTATTGAGATGGAGTCTTGCTGTGTTGCCCAGGCTGGAGTGCAGGGGCATGATCTTGGCTCACTGCAAACTCCACCTCCCAGGTTCAAGCAATTCTCCTGTCTCAGCCTCCCAAGTAGCTGGGATTACAGGCGCCCATCACCACACCCGGCTAATGTTTGTATTTTTAGTAGAGACAGGGTTTTACCATGTTGGCCAGGCTGGTCTTGAACTCCTGACCTCAAGTAATCTGCCCGCCTCAGCCTCCTAAAGTGCTAGGATTACAGGCGTGAGCCACCGAGTCCGGCAGCCATTACTTTTTCTCAAAGGTTGCAAAGATACACACACACACACACACACACTCACTCAGATAATTGTTCCAGCTCCTGTTTCAGAGGAAGGGATTTTGGTTCGAAGTGGAAGTGACATATTCAAGGTCATGAAGCGAGATAATGGTGTAGCCAAAATTAGTATCCACATAGCCCAACTTTCCAACACACACACACACACACACACACACACCAGTAAGGGCCCAGCCTTCTCTGACTCTGATTTCAGATGAAAACTGCTAATCTCTGAGGTTGAGTCACTCTGATGCTGGAAATTTACCACATCCACATCTGGACAAACACAGAGACTCACACTCCTGCCTCTCAGTCTCCCAGCTGCAGGGGAGGGCCTCGTGGGTGGTGCCAGCCCCTTAGGGCAAGGACTGTGATGGAATTGACCTCCGTGACCCTCTCTGGCCAGTGAACAGCACCCCCTCGAGAATCCATATGAACAGCATTTTGCAGTTACAGAGCTCTCACATCACTCTCTCATTTGATCATCAGAACAACACTGTGGGGCTGGGTGCGGTGGCTCACACCTATAATCCCAGCACTTTGAGAGGCCAAGGTAGGCAGATCACCTGAGGTCAGGAGTTCAAGACCAGCCTGGCCAACATGGCGAAACCCCATCTCTACTAAAAATACAAAAATTAGCCAGGCGTGGTGGCGGACACCTGTAATCCCAGCTACTTGGGAGGCTGAGGCAGGAGAATTGCTTGAACCCAGGAGGCGGAGGTTGCAGTGAGCCGAGATTGCGCCATTGCACTCTAGTCTGGGTGACAACAGCAAAACTCTGTCTCAAAAACAAAAAACAAAACAAAACAAAACAAAAAGAACAACGCTGTGGTTTAAGTGAGGATTAACACCCCTGTTTTACAGATTACAAAACTACAGTTTAGAAAGACCCAAGGTCCTGCAGGCAGGGACTGTTCCACATTCACCCTGTATGTGAAGCACTGGGCAGAGCCACAGGCATTTCCATGGTGATGGATGTGCTGGGCCAGGGCTGCAGCCCAGTCACAATAGCTCTGGGCCAGCAGTGTCCCGCTGTTCACCAGCCTCCCAGCTCACTGGGCAGCTTCCCATGGGTGGAGGAGCCCCCAGGTGGACACGGTTCACAGAACCCATCATCCAAAGGAGACAGGAGTTAGGAACACTTCACCCACTTCACCACATGTCCTGAGCAAACCCTGCCCAGAGCCTAGACTCGCGACCAACGGCAGCAAAATGTTCAGCCAATGACCTCTGCCCTTTGGCTGGAGGAGACCAAGGTTCCTGGGGAAAAGGTCATGCCTTTGACCGGGCTGACTCCCCAAATCAACACTCTCCCACAGTTGTTTCCTGGAAGAGGAAACACGTGACCAGGCCACTACTGACTATGGAATACATGCTGGACAATGGGAGTGAGAGGGCCCCCAGAGACCCTTGCCACCTTTCCCCATGCTCTTTGCCCTTGTTCAAACAGGCACTGGGAGCAGAGCAGTGAGCTCATTTCAAAGTAGACATCCAACCTGGGAAAAAGATGCCATCTCCCCTTCCTGCAGTTTCTATGAGTGATACCTGGGAGCCTGCAGCTCCAACTCTGCCAGGTTTCCTCTCTGAGGCTGACAACCCACAACTAGAGGGATCCTCCTTCTTTTCTTTTAGTTATCCAGGCTGGGGAGAACTGAGAGCATCTCTTTGTCCTTGGCTGTGCATACTGGTGGCAAATTCCAAGACAAGAGAAAAAATCAGTGTCTGTTAACCTTTTTTTTTTTTTTTTTTTTGAGATGGAGTCTCACTCTGTGGCCCAGGCTGGTGTGCGGTGGCATGATCTCAGCTCACTGCAACCTCCGCCTCCCGGGTTCAAGCAATTCTCTTGCCTCAGCCCCCTGAGTAGGTGGGATCACAAGCACCTGCCACCACACCTGGCTAATTTTTGTATTTTTAGTAGAGACGGGGTTTCGCCATGTTGGCCAGGCTGGTCTTGAACTCCTGACTTCAGGTGATCCGCCCGCCTCCACCTCCCAAAGTGCTGGGATTGCAGGTGTGAGACACCATGCCCAGCCTGTTACCTTTTGAGCCAGGCCTCTCCTGTGCCGAAGCTGAGCAGTTACCCTTTTTAATATCAGCGCCAGACTGCACTTTAGTGCCACTGAGCAGCTCCAGGCCTTTGATGAGGCTTCAGGTGTTGAAGCCTGGTTCCACATTAAATCTCTTCCTGCTCTCTCCTGGCCCCACATCACCCACTAATTTGGTAATATAGCCTTCTGTGCCATTACTCAAGCCTTTGATGAAAATATCAGAGGACAGAATCAGATAAGGGACCCTTAATTCAGGGTGACATTTATTCTGGCGTGTTCTTGGTGAACTGTTGCTGGCTCTGGCTACTCATCACTCCTTTTATCTGTTCTTGAAAATTATCTGTTTAATCAAAGCCAGCAGGTGGCTGGGCTCCAGTCACATCAGCACAGCTTCCTAGTCCCTAGATGTCAGTGACCTGGAGATTTGAACTTGCTAAAGATAGAAGGTGCTTCCTGGCTGGGCGCGGTGGCTCATGCCTCTAATCCCAGCACTTTGGGAGGACAAGGCGGGCAGATCACGAGGTCAGGAGTTCGAAACCAACCTGACCAACATGGTGAAACCCTGTCTGTACTAAAAATACAAAAATTAGCAGGGAGTGGTGGTGCGCACCTGTAATCCCAGCTACTCAGGAGGCTGAGACAGGAGAATCGCTTGAACCCAGGAGGCGGAGGTTGCAATAAGCCGAGATTGCGCCACTGCGAGACTCTGTCTCAAAAAAATAAAAATAAAAATAAAAATAAAAAAGGCACTTCCTTCCCTGACTAAGCTTTCACCCTTTCTCCCCCAGCCACCACCACTTTATCTGGGCTTCTTCATTTAGCCAAGCTCTGCCCAGCCCAAACCCCATCCCTAGCTCCTGACCTGGGCATGGCCCTTCCCAGCCCGTTCCCAGCTCAGACTTGAGCCCCTTCCTCTCTCAGGCACCTGTCCTGTCCTTGAAGAGAGGGAGCAAGAGGGCTGTCCCTTATCACTCAGGACAGCCTCCAAGGACTGAAATGTGCCACAGGAAACTTGATGGCCAGGGCTCTTAGATCAGTTGGGGCTGAGGTGTGTGGAGCAAACAATAGATATGAAGCATGTGCGAGGAGCTGGGCTAGGAGTGCTACTCAATTCTCCCAACACCCCTGCAGAGGGAGGTACAATTATCCCCATCCAGAGGTGAGGAGACTGGGGCTCAGGGAGGTCACCTTACTTATCCAAGGTCACCCAAGTGGCAGAACCAGGTTTCGAATCCAAGGCCACATGGCTCCACCTTCCACATCCATCCAGCCACCACAGTCTCTGGCCCTTGGGGCCACATTGTTTTCTTTGCCTTCCCAGGTGTGCCCCCCAACCTCATCCCTGCCCCTGAGCAAATGGGGATCCCAGATGCTGCTTCAGCAGCTTCTGGAAGGCAGAGTAAGCCAGAGCCCATCCCTTCCTGATCCTCCCTTCCCAGAGGGAGCAGCAGGTTGGTGGGGTGACATCAGGCTGTGGGGGAGCCACTTCATTGTTCCTGAGACCGAAGTGATTTGGAGTTAATCTCCAAATCTGGTGCCACAGACACAATAGGAACCCACTGCCACCGCCCCCTCCAGCCTTATCATGGTGAACAGATGGGCAGACCCCTCTCCGGGGTCTAAGTAGGGCATTGCTGAGGTTGCTGGGAGGCAGGGAGGGAGGCCAGTTGGCCATGGTGGGGGAAGGGGACAGTGGAGACAGTAGGGGTGGGACAAACCCAGCCCCACCCCACCCTTCCCTAGCCCCCCAGGGTGGATGGGATTCAAGCGTCAGCGCTCTGCTGCCACAATGGGCTGGCTCCAGCAGATCCTCAACACGCATTTCAGGGGACCCATGCACCCAGTCAGGCGACCATACAGACAATGCTTCAGGTCCTTTCTAGCTCCAAATTCTGTAGCCTAAGCTCACCGGAGCTGAGGGTCTACAAACTTACCACTTGAATTCCAGAATGAGGCTTGGGCAGTGCAGAGCCCAGCACCCCCAGGTCCTGAGCAGGCCCAGCCTCTGCCATTGGCCCTCACTGTCACAGGAGCACAGCATTAACAGAGAAAAATGAAGGAAGCCAACTGTTAAAGCCAAGGGCCCCTAGGAACTGTGAGTCCAATGCTTCATGTTTCAGAAGAGAACAGTAAGACAAAGAGGGGAGGGAGGACGGGCGCGGTGGCTCACGCCTATAATCCTAGCACTCTGGGAGGCCAAGGCAGGCAGATCACCTGAGGTCAGGAGTTCGAGACCAGCCTGGCCAACATGATGAAACCCCGTCTCTACTAAAAATACAAAAAAGTTAGCCGGGCGTGGTGGCGGGTGCCTGTAATCCCAGCTACTCGGGCGGCTGAGGCAGGAGAATCACCTGAACCCAAGAGGTAGGGTTGTAGTGAGCCAAGAATGCACCATTGCACTCCAGCCTGGGCGACAAGAGTGAAACTCCGTCTCACAAAAAAGAGGGAGGGAATGGGCCTCTGGGCTCCCTGGCTAGCGCTCTCCCCTATCTGCACCAGCTTCAAAACTCTATCTGTAACAGGCCAAAACTGGAAACAGCCTGCGTGTCCATCCACAGGGAAATGGATACATTAGCCGGGTATATGTGTGGCAAGGAATACAATACAGCCATGAAGAGGAAGAAGCTATTGAAACACACAAAAAGCAGAAGGAGTCAGACAAACAGGGGCACATATGGAAGGATTCCATTACTCTAAAGTTCCGGAAAACAGAAGCTAATCTAGAGGGGCAGAAAGCAGATGAACAGTTGCCCTGGCCCAGGGGAGGAGGCTGGGATTAAAAAGGTGAGCAGGCCAGGCGCAGTGGCTCACGCCTGTAATCCCAGCACTTTGGGAGGCCGAGGCGGGTGGATTCCTTGAGCCCAGGAGTTCAAGACCAGCTGGGCAACATAGTGAGACCCAATCTCTACTAAATAATCAAAAAAATTAGCCAGGTGTGGTGGCACGCACCTATGGTCCCAGCTACTCAGGAGGCTGAGAAAGGAGGATCACCCGAGCCCAGGAAGTCTAGGCAGCAGTGAGCCATGATTGTGCCACTGCACTCCAGCCTAGATGAGAGTGAGACACTGTCTCAAAAAAAAAAAGTTGAGGGGGCAGGGGGCGGGGAGCAGGAGGGGAGCAAGGGAAGGTTTGGGGCGAAGGATGCATTTGCTCTCTGTTATGGCTTCACATGTATATACATCTGTCAACTTACCAAATTCTGCATTTTAAATATGTGTAGTTTATTTTATGTCAGTTTTATCTCAAAGAAGCTGTTTAGGAAAAAACAAACCATAGAGGCTTTGCACACGGCCCAGCAGATGAGCTAAGCACTCCCACCTACACCCATTTTGTTCTGATGGCCACGGTAGGGGGTGTAAGTCCCCCATGCCTCTTTATGAGAGGGTCAGCGGGGAGGCCATCAATGCTTCTGGTCAACTTCTGCCCACCCCAGACCAGGCCAGCTGTCGGCACAGGTGTCGCTAGTGTCACTCGAAGCTGGACACATATCAGTATATGGATGTAACAAGCAACCATGAGGTCCCCATGGGGTGTTGCTGGCACAAGCCAGACATCAAGCAAAGGTCAATGGGGCAGGAGCTAATCTAAAACACTGTGCCTCTGCCTAGGCAAACAGGGTCTCTCAGGCCCTAGCAGGCTGAGGGTAAATGGAAAATCCCCAGAGCCCATGAAACCCCATTTCTTTGGCTGTTTCTTCGCCTATTAAAATTACTCTCCCATCTTTTTCGAGGAGTCCCAAAGGGTCTCATCCCATCTAAACCACTATGGGGTAACCTCTGCCTAGGCTGGCACGCACACCAGGGTGAGGGACAAGGCGCCATGTGGCCCAATCGTTCTGCCACCTGCCGCTTGGGGCTGGAGCTGCTCAAGGAGACAGGCTCCTCCTCGCCTACAGCTGTCAAGACAGGCGGACCATCCTGCTGCTCAGGCTGCAGAGTCTGCCCCAATGAGCACAGTCCTCAAACCCCACCCACCTACTGTGACACTCCCTCCTGCAACTTCAGAGCATGTTGTCTGGTGCTCCAAACTTTCGTGGTGGGTTTAGTGAAAACGCTTTGGATTTGTACTCACAGCCCCCTCTCTGTGACTTAGCCCTCTCTCCTGAGTGCATGAGGACTGGGCTGTGTGGCAGGAACCATACAAACCTCAGTGCTATGCTCTGCTATGCTTTTATTTCCCTTGTGGTCTGCCTGCTTCCCTTCAGATGAGGCTGGCCAAGAAGCACCACAGACCCTGATGCAAAATTGCCCCTAAAGCACTTCAGCCCGACCAGTCAGGTCTGCATTCCTGGATAAGCCCAATGCTGACCCCATGGGGACCCCCACTCCCTTCTCCAGTACTAGGAGCTGGGCCCCAGGGAGGGACTTGGATAGGACCCGCTCGTGTCTGCCACCATGAGTGTGAGCACAGGGCTGATGGAGCTTTGCAGAGAGAAATGAAGGTCAAGGTGTGTGGGCTGAGTGCCAAGTGAGACAGAGAGGGCTCCAAGGCTGGGGAGGTGTGGACATGGGGCCGGGGCTGGGCCTGACTGAGCCTGGAAGGAATGGTGGGATCTAGCACATGGCAACAGCATTTCAGGTGTAGGAAATTGAGCAAAGGCCCCATAGGGGAATGTTCCCAGAGTGCTGGAGAACAGTGAGAAGAGCCCGGGGATCTCCTTAGGAAGGGGAGGGAGTGGGCTCCATGAGTCCGGGGCTGTGTCCATCTCATTTGTGGTTTTATCTCTGGAGCTTCATGCCATACCTACACTTAATAGGCATCAAAGATGGTTGTGAAAGTGTGGGGAGGAGGGAAGGAGTAAGGAAAGGCAGGGGAGAATGGAAGAGACATTGGAGGCATCCACCAGACAGGATGTTCAGCTCTTAGCTGTTACTCACAGGCAACAGGGAGCCAGCAAAAGTTTCCGAGTGGAGGAAAATTTCATGGAATTTAGAGTTTCTAGAAGATTCACCTGGCATCACTCACTCCTGACAGATGTTCGTAGCCCAATGCCTGCGCTCTGTAAGATCACTCTCTCTACACCAGCCTAGGCAGGGGAACGGCAGGAGGGCACATAGCAAGCCCTTCTCTGTGGGCTGGGAGGGCCCGGGATGCCCCAGCTGTTGCTTCCAGAGCTGAGAACAAGCTACTCCCCTGCCTGGCAGGGAGGCCAAGGAGAGCCTGTGGCACAGCCAAGGGAGAAGATTGTCAAAACACTGTAATGGAATCTTCCGGGCTGTCCTCAGCCTCGCATTTGCACAGCGGCCTCCAACTCAAGAATCAGATGTCCTGATAGTCATGCCAGTGGCCTCGGTGGCCCCAGCAGCCCTGCCTTCAGGGCAGGGAGCAGGAGCCGTGACGGGCAGGAGTGTGCTGAGGCTGGGATGGGCCAGTACCACCTGTCCACCTGGCTCCCTCACCACTTAACAGCTTAGGAGCCTCGGAAGGCCCACAACCCACCCCTAGGACGCCACCTCCCATGGGGTCAGCCCATGGCTGGGAGTGGTTGGGGCTCCAGGATGCTGAGGGCAGATCACTGCCGGGGCCAGGCTGCTGTCAGGCCATCCCAATCCAAGCATCAAAAGTGAACAGCAGCTCCCACTTCCCCCTGCTCTGGGCTGCAAAAATGGACCTCGTAATCGACCATACCAGCACAGTACTTACTTTCTAGTGGACCCTTCCTTCTGTCCACTCTCTGAACCTGTGAGGTGGGCAAGGCAGTCAAAATCGTGCCCACTCTGTGAATGAGGGCTTCATGCTTCCACTAGGCCAGTGGACCTGTCTAAACCCCACGGCTAAAATGCTTAGGAAGGGGGAGCTTCGGCTCCCCAGCCAGCCTCAAAAAGGGCCCTCAAAGCGTGAGGAATGGATCTTCAGTGGAAATGTACAGAGTCTCACAGTGGGACCAAGTATGCCTGCCTTTATAGAAAGGACCTACAGGGACCACCTCTTCCTCCCCTCCATTTGCTAATAAGGAGGATCGATACAGAAAGCTCAGATAAGCTCAGAGTCACACCAGAAAAGTAACAGAGCCAGGCTAAAGCCAAAAAGCCACTCTGATTTGGACAATCATGGAGAGGACTTCTCCCCTTCCTTCTGGTTGGTTCATGGTGAAAAATCTGACCATGGCATTCAGACAAAGCCTCATGTTCATGAGGAGACCCTGAAAGCAGTCAGGAAGTCAGCCGAGGTCCCCAGGGGACACCTGCAGCAGGGCCATGAAGGATGACATGGTTCCCCTTCCCTGCCTCAGTCAGCACAGAGCAGAACAAATCCTCATGCAAGATTTGGCCAGAGCTGGAAGGAGCCCCAGAGGCATCTCAGCCTGCCTCATTTCACCCCTAGGGAAACTGAGGCCTGATAAGGACCCAGGAGGCGGTCATGACCATCTGTACTTTCAGTTGCCATAAGAGACCAACAATCCGGGAGCGATCGGGACAGGTGAGCCAAGGAGGTCCGCAGCAGGGGCAGGGGTATGTGTGGGTACTGTTACAAAGGGCATAGGCCTAGCTCACTACCTCCCCTATTCTCACAGCGCAAGAGACACTCTGAGGCCTGTTGCCCGAGGGGCCTGCGGGCCAAGTTCAGATGATCTAATACAAGGAAGAAAACCACTACCTCTGTTGAGTTTCTATCAGATGCCAGGCAGGAATCACCATGCCCAACTTACAGGTGAGGCCCAAGTGGCTGAGTGACTTGTCTGAGGTCGCCCAGGAGGTAAGGAGCAGAGCTTGGACTGCAAATGCAATGTTCTCCCACTCCACCTCCTTCCCCTCAGACCTAGAGGCCGCCCTGCTACTGCTATTTGCTTTGGGATAGTGTTGCCCTACCTGCCTGCTCAGCCTGCACCCCTGAGGTAGGGCCCTGTGGCCCCTGAGCCAGCTCCCTCCCATCCATGCTCTGGGGTCTTTCCATGTCCTTGTCATCCCCCAGCCCCTGCTGGAGGGCTGAAGCAGCTGGAACTGCTTTTTCCCACCAGGCCTGTCAGGACCAAGTCACCAGACCTACTCTCTCGAGAATCACTGCGTAATGGCCACTGGGAATCTGCATTTTAACAGGAAAGTTCTGGAAGCACTGTTTTGGAGAAATAAAGACTGGGATCTGCTGCTCTCAGGAAAGACTTTAGTTCTGTTTTTGAGGAAGGAAAACCAATTTCCACTCTATTCCACTAGGGCCAAAGCCAGCTGATATGCCCCCTTGATGGAATTAACAAGGAGCCTCTTCCAGGAGGTACAACCTCATGTGGTGGGCAAAGAGCCCCTTTCCGTGGGGGGATAAAAAGATTTCCCTTCCTATAAGCACATAGTTCCAAGATTCCTTCAGCTGAGAAAGTGAGGAAGAAGTGCAGAGGCCTGAGGCAGACACTCCTCCCACTTGGTCACTTTCACTCCGGAGAAGAGTGTCCCACTGCAGCATTTATCCTGCCGGCACCCCTCCCCACTAACACCAATCTCTGCTCTGGAGAAAAGGTCGCTTTGCCCGGAGTCGCTAAAAATCACACATTAACAGCCCTAGTGGTTTCCAGCAGTTTCAATGCTGGCTTCAGCCAGAAATGTCTTAAAAAGGCCACCCGCTCTTTTTAATCCATAGCATTTATATTTTATAACATTTAAACAGAACCATTTTAAGGCAAAGATACATAGGACTTTCCTCACATGTCCACATAAAAAGGAAAAACCAGGAGATATCTATTAGGTTGGTGCAAAAGTAATTGCGGTGTTTGCCGTACATTAGACAACTAGGGAATTCTTTCTGAGCCCAGCAATGATCAGCTCCTACAGAGTACCGCTGCCTCACACGGGGGATCTCCCTCCTCCAAGAAGCCCTCGTGCCTACCCTCTGGGCTAGGAGCCTGGATATCAAGCCCCAAGAAAAGGTGTCCTCTGTAGAGGCAGCTTCCCCGTTACCCATAGACATAACAGCTACATTTACTGAGCTTTCTAATGTTTCAAGAACAAACACTATTAAAAGAATGACAATCAATATCACAGGTGACAGAATTACCCCATTTTACAGATGGGAACAAGCTCAGAGAGGTCAACAGACCTGCCCGCCCCTGATTCCACAGCCCATGCCCTTCATGGCTCTCTGCCCCAGCCAAGGCCTCCCCAGCTCACAGGGAGGCTGAAACCTCCTGCCAGCCTGCAGTCTTGCCAGCCTCTTACGCTAGGCCACCCTGCCCTCCTGGTTGAGGGCACTTGACTGTGTCCTCCACCATCTGACTCCTGGAGAAACTCAGCCCTCAGCACCTCTTTTTGTTTTATGCAGCTCCCTGAATCACACCCTTTTTGATGCTTTCTTTTTTTTTTTTAATAGAGATGGGGGTGCCAGGTGGGGTGGTTCATGCCTGTAATCTCAGAATTTTGGGAGGCGGAGGCGGGTGGATCACTTGAGGTCAGGAGTTTGAGACCAGCCTGGCCAACGTGGTGAAACCCCGTCTCTACTAAAAATACAAAAAAAAAATTAGCCGGGCATGGTGGCACAGGCCTGTAATCCCAGCTACCTGGGAGGCTTAGACAGGAGAATCCCTTGAACCCGGGAGGCAGAGGTTGCAGTGAGCCGGGATTGCACCACTGCACTCCAGCCTGGGCAAGGAGCAACACTTCGTCTCTAAATAAATAAATAGAGATAAGGGACTTGCTATATCACCCAGGCTGGTCTCTAACTCCTGGGCTCAAGCAATCCCCCTACCTCGGCCTCCCAAAGTGCTGGGATTACAGAAGTGACCTTTTTGATACTTTCAATATTAAAATTCCCTCCAGTGACACCCATCATTTGTAAAAGCTGGATGGGCCCAGCCTCATCTCACTTTGGAAGCAGGGTCAGAGCGCCATCTGGTGGCTGTCTAGTGAGCCTTGTATTGGCTGAGCAGCAGAATCAGAGCCTGAGATCTGGAAGGCCCCTAGGAGTCAGGTGGTCCAGCAGAGGTTCAGAGATGGGAAGTAACCCACCTAAAGGCACATGGCAAATTAGAATCCATCTCCAGGACCATAACCCAGCGTTTGGGCAATAAGACTGTGCTTTTCGAATTCCCCTGGTGTTTCGGAGAAGCTGCATATCTGGAGCCATATCTGATAGTTGTGAAGTGCAAGTAGAGACAGTCCTATTCTCAAGGTGCACCATCTTCCTGGCGTGGCATCCTTTATTCTGCTTATCATTTTGAATAGGTCAATTTACACATGGTATAAAATTCAAAAGGCACAAAAAGGATATGCAGTGAAAAGTGAGTCTCTCACACCCTAGCCCTCTACCACACAATTATCACTTTCCACATCTCCACCCAGAGATTTTCTCTATATTTACAAGTATAAAATATACATATATTTTAGCTTTTACATAAATAGTAGCATATCATACGCAAGGATTTTTCTTTTCTTTTTTTTTTTTAGACAGGATCTCACTCTGTCACCCAGCCTGGAGTGCATTGTAGTGGTGTGATCTTGGCTTACTGCAACCTCCAACTCCCAGGCTCAAGTAATCCTCTCACCTCAGCCTCCCAAGTAGCTGGGACTAAAAGTGCATGCCAGTATACCTGGCTAAATTTTGTGTTTTTTTGTAGAGACAGGATCTTGCCATGTTGCCTAGGCTGGTCTCGAACTCCTGCATTCAAGCGATCTGCCCACCGTGACTTCCCAAAGTGCTAGGATTACTGGCGTGAGCCACTGTGCCCGACCTTACATGGGGCTCTTAACAACACATCTTGGAGATCATTGTCCATCGCACATGAAGAGCATCGTCATTCCTTTGTAAAGCAATACTGTATTCCCTGCATGGCAGTACATGGAGGCGCCATAACGTATTTAACTACTCTTCTTTAGATGGAAATGTGGGTGGTTCCCAATTCATTGCTATGAAAAACACGTAGGGAAAACATGTTAGAATAAATTCCTGGAAGTGGAATTGCTACAATTATCAGTTTTCATTTTGGTCTCACAGACCAGAAAACCCAACATAATAAAAGTTTAATTATGTAAGGCCTCATTATCTCATAGCAAACAAGCCTAGAAGACAGTTCATGGGCACATGGTAGCTCCAGGCTGGGAGAAAGGATATGAATATGTTAACTGTATAGATATTACCAAATCGCCCTTCTCAGAGGCTGAACTGTCTTGATTTCCACCATCAGTGTACAGCGTTTCCTTACAGTCAGACCAAGAGCACATTATCATACTTTGTTTGAAATTTCCCAGCTGAACAGGTGAAAATGATACTCATTGGACTTTTATATCACTTTTGCAGGTTCAACCTCCCAGACTCAAGCAATCCTCCCACCTCAGACTCCCAAGTAGCTGGGACTACAGATACATGCCACCACACCCAGCTAATTTTGTTGATTTTTTTGTAGAGATACCCTTCTCACTTTGTTGCCTAAACTGGTCTCCTGGGCCCAAGCAATACTCCCATCTAAGCCTCCCAAAGTGCTAGGATTACAGGCATGAGCCACCATGCTCGGTCTTATATTTTTTTCTCTCTCTGTTTTTTTTTTTTCACAGGGTCTCACTTAGTTGCCCCAGCTGGAATGCAGTGGTGCAGTCTTAGCTTACTGCTGCCTCTGTCTCTTGGGTTCAAGTGATTCTCTTGCCTCAGCCTCCCTAGTAGCTAGCACTGCAGGTGTGTGTCGCCACACCCGGCTAATGTATTTCTCTTATTATGAGCACTGTTGAGCATCTTTCCTGGGCCTAAGAGGTACTTCTTTCCCCATGGATTGTCTCGTTATATTCATTGTCCATCTTGCTTTTGTGTTTTTGGCCTTGTTTGTATTGATTTTTTGTTAACAGCTTTATTAAGATACAGTCCACATACCATAAAATTCACCCATATGAAATGTACAATTCAGTGGTTTTAGTATGTTTACAGGGCTGTGCAACTGTCATCACAATCTAATTTTAGAACATTTTGTCTCCCTTTCAAAAGAAATCCAGTACCCATTAGCAATCACCCCCACCATGCATATACCATACACCTCCATGCCTCCCCCACCAAACACCCCCACACCTAAGCAATCACTAATCAACTCTCTGTCTCCATAGTTTTGCCTATTCTGAACATTTCATATAAATGGAATTATACAATATGTGGTCATTTGTGGCTGGCTTCTTTCACTTCACATAATGGCTTCAAGGTTCATCTGGCCGGGCAAAGTGGCTCATGCCTGTCATCCTAGCACTTTGGGAGGTTGAGGCAGGCAGGGCCTGAGCTCAGGAGTTACCAGCCTGGGCAACCCGGTGAAACCCCATCTCTACTAAAATGCAAAAAATTAGCTGGGCATGGCAGCATGCGCCTGTAGTCCCAGCTACTCAGGAGGCTAGGGGAAGAGAACTGCTTGAACCCGAAGGTGGAGGTTGCGGTGAGCCAAAATCGTGCCACTGCATTCCATCCTGGGCAGCAGAGCAAGACGCCATTTCCAAATAAATAAATAAATAAATAAATAAATAAAGTTTCATCTATGTTGTACCATGTATCAGTACTTCATTCTTTTTTATTGTTGCATGATGTTCCATTGTATGGCTACGCCATACAGACTTCTTCATATGTCAAGGAAATTCGACCTGTGTCTGTGGTGTGAACTGCAAATATTTTTCACAGATTGTCATATATCTTTTATTTATGCTTTTTTCCCCATGCAAGTTTTTTTTATCACACGCAGAAGACCTTTCCTACTCCAGAACTATTATAATGTCTTCAAAATGGCTCTTCCACATTCCTTTCTAGAGATTTCACAATTTAATTTTTTTATTCCAGTCACATCTTTTATCCAGCTGGAATTTATTTTGGTGTAAGGTAAAAGGTGGGAATCTAAACTTTTTTTTTTCCTTGAGACAGAGTCTTGCTCTGTCGCCCAAGCTGGAGTGCAGTGGCACAAACTCGGCTCACTGCAACCTCCGCCTCCCAGGTTCAAGCATCTCTCCTGCCTCAGCCTCCCGAGGAACTGGAATAGCTGGGACTACAGGCGCATGCCACCATGCCCAGCTAATTTTTGTATTTTAATAGAGATGGGGTTTCACTATGTTGTCCAGGCTGGTCTTGAACTCCTGACCTCAGGCCATCTGCCTGCCTCGGCCTCCCAAAGTGCTGGGATTACAGGCATGAGCCACCGCACCCAGCCTCTAAGCTTATTTTTCACAGATATCTACCCAGTTGTCCCAATAACATTTAAACAATCCCCACTGATTTGAAATGCCACATTTGTATTGTATTTATTAAATTTCTGCTTGTGTTAGGGTGCATTTCTGGACTTCCTATTCTTTCACGGTTACTCATCTGTCCATGGACCAGTACCACAACATAAAGATCTATAATGCTTAACTTTATATAATGGAAAATTTCAAATATGCAAAAAATTGGAGGACATAGTACAGTGAGCCTCCATGTACACATAGCTCAGCTTTAACAATCACTGGCCGGGCATGGTGGCTCATGCCTGTAACCCCAGCACTTTGGGAGGCCAAAGCAGGCAGATCATCTGAGGTGGGGAGTTTGAGACCAGCCTGGCCAACATGGTGAAACCCCGTCTCTACTGAAAATACAAAATTAGCTGAGTGTGGTGGCACGCGCCTGTAATCCCAGCTGCTTGGGAGGCTGAGTCAGGAGAATTGCTTGAACCCAGGAGGTAGAGGTTGCAGTGAGACTAGATCACGCCACTGCACTCCAGCCTGGGCATCAGAGCAAGACTACATCTAAAAAAAAAAAAAAAAAAAGGCAGAAAAACAACAAAAAAACCAATCATCAACTTTCTGCCATTTATGTCTTCTAAGGGCTTTTTTTCCCCTCTCTATTTTTGTGGGGAAAAGAGAGATCAGATTGTTACTGTGTCTGCGTAGAAAGAAGTAGACATAAGAGACTCCATTTTGTTCTGTACTAAGAAAAATTCTTCTGCCTTGAGATACTGTTAATCTGTAACCCTACCCCCAACCCTGTGCTCCCTGAGACATGTGCTGTGTCAACTCAGGGTTAAATGGATTAAGGGCTCTGCAGGATGTGCTTTGTTAAACAAATGCTTGAAGGCTGCATGCTTGTTAAGAGTCATCACCACTCCCTAACTTCCAATACCCAGAGACACGGTACACTGCTGAAGGCCGCAGGGACCTCTGCCTAGGAAAGCCAGGTATTGTCCAAGGTTTCTCTCCTTGTGATAGTCTGAAATATGGCCTCGTGGGAAGGGAAAGACCTGACCGTCCCCCAGCCCCACACCCGTAAAGGGTCTGTGCTGAGGAGGATTAGTAAAAGAGGAAGGAAGGCCTCTTTGCAGTTGAGATAAGAGGAAGGCATCTGTCTCCTGCTCGTCCCTGGGCAATGGAATATCTCAGTGTAAAGCCCGATTGTATATTCCATCTACTGAGATAGGGGAAAACCGCCTTAGGGCTGGAGGTGGGACATGCTGGCAGCAATACTGCTCTTTAAGGCATTGAGATGTTTATGTATATGCACATCAAAAGCACAGCACTTTTTTCTTTACCTTGTTTATGATGCAGAGACATTTGTTCACATGTTTACCTTCTGACCTTCTCTCCACTATTATCCTATTGTCCTGCCACGTCCCCCTCTCTGGGAAACGCCCAATAATGATCAATAAATACTAAGGGAACTCAGAGGCCGGGGCCGGCGCGGGTCCTCCATATGCTGAGCGCCGGTCTCCTGGGCCCATTTTTCTTTCTCTGTGTCTCTTTCTTTTTTGTCTCTCATTTTTTTGTCTCATTTTTTGTCTCTGTGTCTCTTTCTTTTCTAAGTCTCTCGTTTCACCTAACGAGAAACGCCCACAGGTGTGGAGGGGCAACCCATCCTTTCAATTTTCTTCTTTCATTCTTACTTTCTTTTTTTTTTTTTTTTTTTTTTTGAGACATGCTATCACTTTGTTGCCCAGGCTGGAGTGCCAGGGTCTCACTCTGTCACCTAGGATCATGCTTAACTGAGGCCTCAACCTCCCCAGGCTCTGGTGATTCTCCCACCTCAGCCTCCCAAGTAACTGGGACTACAGATCCGTGCCACCATGCCCGGCTAATCTTTGTTTTGCTTTTGTAGAGATGGGGTTTTGCCATGTTGCCCAGGCTGGTCTGGAACTCCTGGACTCAAGCGATCTTCCCACCTAAGCCTCCTGAAGTGCTAGGATTTCAGACATGAGCTCTGTGCCTGGTCTAGAGGATTTTAAAGCAAATAATTTCACCTATAATCAGTTCACTCTCTAACAGCTAAGGACTTTTTTCAAAAACTGTAATCACGATACCTCATCACAACTGTGGTAAGAAGAATGATGGCCTCCTGAAGATGCCCACGCCTTAATTCCCAAAGCCCAGGAATAAGTTGCCTAATGTGATGAAAGGGACTTTTCAGATATAGATCTTAAGATGGGCAGAGTATTCGGGATAACCCAGGTAGTGCCAATGTAATCACAAAGGTTCTGTGGAGGCAAGAGGGTCAGAGTCAGAGGAGATGTGACTAGAGAAGCAAAGGTCAGAGTGATGTGGGGCCAGCAGCCAAGGAATGCAGGCGGCCTCTTGAAGCTGGAAAAGGCAGGGAAATGGATGCTCCCCTAGGGCCTCCAGAAGAAGCACAGTTCAGCCAATACATTGATGTTAGTCCAGTGACTGAATTTCAGACTTCTACCCACCAGAATTGTATGATAATAAGTTTCTGTTGCTGGAAGTCACTCACTCTGTTTGTGGTAATTATAGCAGCAACAGGAAGCTAATACAACCAATAAAACTAGCGAGAGAACTTGTTCTATAGATCATTTTTACTTTCTCCCAAAAGTTCAAAAAAATCTTTTTTTTTTTTGTGAGGTGGGGGTCTCACTCTACTGCCCAGGCTGGAGTACAGTGGCACGATCATGGCTCACTGCAGCCTCAACCTCTCCAGGCTCAGGTGATCCTCCCACCTCAGCCTGGGACTACAGGCACGTGCCACCATGCCCAGCTAATTTTTTATCTTTTGTAGAGATGGGGTTTCACCACGTTGCCCAGGCTGGTTTGGAACTCCTGGACTCAAGTGATCCTCCTGCCTCGGCCTCCCAAAGTGCTAGGATTACAGACGTGAGCCATCACGCCTGGCCAAAAATATCTTTTTACAGTTCATTGGTTCATAAGTTGTATTACTTTAAATGTAATTAAGCATTTGTAGGGCCAGTGAATTTTTTTATTACTATCAGGTTTAAACTAGTTCATATAAATCTAAGCCAAATAAATAAATACAGGGAGTTGACTAGCTCACAGTCATTTGCTATTGACCTGAGCAAGTCACCTTCTTTCTGGGCCTGGGTTTTCTATTCTGAAAAGCGGGGGGTTGGATAAGAAGTTATGTCAGGGGCAATCCACGCCTGGGCTTCAT
The DNA here is from genome assembly GCF_000001405.40 of Homo sapiens. Lineage (NCBI taxonomy): Eukaryota > Metazoa > Chordata > Mammalia > Primates > Hominidae > Homo > Homo sapiens. The sequence goes on from NC_000002.12 coordinate 26,752,407, forward strand.
GAGACCTGGGAATACCCTGAAACTGTATGCAAAAGAGGAAAGTGTTCTCAATCTGTCTGTGCTCCGAATTTTCTAGATGTGTGTTAAATACAGGGCTGGGTGCAGTGGCTCACATCTGTAATCCCAGCACTTTGTGAGGCCAAAGGACAAGGATCATTTGAGCTCAGGAGTTCAAGACCAGCTTGGGCAACATAGCAACACCCTGTCTCTATTTTTTTAAAAATAACACATTTTTTAAAAAATTAAAAAAAGAGAATGGTGTTAAATACAGGAACCTAGGCTTCCCTAGGGTGAAGGCCATGTCCAAGGGGGCTGGTATCAATTTAGAGATGTAACTGAGTCAGAGGGAGAAAATATCGTAAGCTTAGTCAACAGCATATTAGAAAGGAAAATGTGCCTGAGATGCACTAATTCAATTAGCTGTTGTCATAGTCACTGTCTCTGAGCAAGGGCTCTGAGCTGGATGCCAGACCAGCAGGGTGCCAGACTGAGAAATGAAATGCAGGATACATATCTAATTTGAATTTTAGACAAATAATGAATCATTTTTTACTCTAAGCGTAACTGTAATAGGTTAATTGCCTGACACTCCTGTCAAATCAATACACCCAGACACGGGGTTGCAGCAGAGAAAGAGGTTTAATACAGGTCCACTGAGAAGACAGGGAGGAAACTTCAAATCTATCTCCCCAGGGAGTCAGGGGCTGGGGGTTTTTTGTTGTTTGTTTTTTGTTTTTTTTGAGACAGGGTCTCTCTCTGTTACCCAGGCTGGAGTGCAGTGGCGCAAAAATGGCTCGCTGGAGCTCGACCTCCTGGGCTCAAACAATCCTCTGCCTCAGCCTCCCATACAGCTAGTATCACAGGCGTGTGCCCATGCCTGGTTAAAATTTTTTTTTTTTTAATAGAGACAGGGTCTCACTTTGTTGCCTAGACTGGTCTCCTGGGCTCAAGCAATCCTCCCACCTTGGCCTCCCAAAGTGCTGGGATTTCAGGTGTAAGCCACTTCGCCTGGCCTGGGGCTAGGGTTTTTAAGGGTTTTGGAGAGGGCTGAAGTGGGGAGATCGTTGATTAGGCAAAGAGTGCATGAAGTCATGGGACAAGGAAATGAAGAAACTATTCTTATGTTGCTTTCATTCCTCTGTGGAGGTCTTCAAACTGGTTGGCATCAGCTGTTTCACTGGAATTCAGGGACCTGAAAAACATCTTAAGCAATTCTTAAACAAAACCCTTATGATTCTTTTTTTTTTTTTTTTTGAGATGGTCTCACTCTGTTGCCCAGGCTGGAGTGCAGTGGCACAATCATGGCTCACTATAGCTTCAACCTCCCCAGGCTCAGGTGATGCTCCTACCTTAGCCTCCCGAATAGCTAGGACTATAGGCACAAATCCACCACACCTGGCTATTTTTTGTATTTTTTGTAGAGACGGGGTTTTGTCACGTTGGCCAGGTTGGTCACTGAGTTCAAACGATCCACCTGCCTCAGCCTCCCAAAATGCTGGGATCACAGGCCCAGCCAAGCCTTATGATTCTAATGTCAGAGATCCAATCTAAAGGAACAATGGGGATTCAAGTGGTCAGTATCTAGTGCTATGCGACTTTCTGTTACAAGGAAGTGGGTGAAAGTGCAGCCTCATTATGCTTAATTATAACTATATTTCTGTCCAAGATTCTTGTTAAGCCTGTGAGGACAGCTTCATAAGTATGTCCTAAACACTAGGGACATACTCATACTACAAAGTGACTCATTGCTTATCTGAAATCAAATTTACCTGGGAGTTTCTGTTTTATCTGAATCTGACTTGATCCTGCTCTTAGAGGACCAAGCTTCCAGAATCTAATGACCACCTCAAAATTAGTGATCAGGGCTGGTCGTGGTGGCTCACACCTGTAATCCCAACACTTCAGGGGGCCGAAGCGGGTAGATCACCTGAGGTCAGGAGTTCGAGACCAGCCTAGCCAACATGGTGAAACTGCATCTCTACTAAAAAGACAAAAATTAGCCAGGCATGGTGGCAGTCACCTGTAGTCCCAGCTACTCGGGAGGCTGAGGCAGGATAATTGCTTGAACCTGGGAGGCAGAGGTTGTAGTGAGCCGAGTTCGTATCACTGCACTCCAATCTGGGTAACAGAGTGAGACCTTGTTTCAAAAAAAAAAAGATTAGTGATCAGCACTGATGGGGGTGAGAGGTGGGAGCGGGGAGGTGGGTAGAGACCAAAGGAGATGATAAGAAAGAAAACAGAGGCCAGATGTAGTGGCTCATGCCTGTAATCCTAGCACTTTGAGAGGCCAAGACCTTGAGGTCAGGAGTTTGAGACCAGCATGGCCAACATGATGATGAAACCCTGTCTTTACTACAAATCCAAAAGTTAGCCAGGCTTGGTGGTGCACGCGTGTAATCCCAGCTACTTGGGAGGCTAAGGCAGGAGAATTGCTTGAACCCAGGAGGTGGAGGTTGCAGTAAGTCGAGATTGTGCCACTGTACTCCAGCCTGGGTGATAGAGAAAGACTCCATCTAAAAAAAAAAATTAAATTAAAAAAGAAAGAAAAAAGAGAAGGTTTGAGAATGACTTTAGGAGGGCCTGCAGCTAGAAGGAGCAGGTGAGTTATAATCTGATCATCTCTGGTCACCATAGAAACCAGCTGTAAATTCAGCCAGAATGAGCTGATGAGCTCCAATATCTATGCCTCTCTGCCAGTGTAGACAGTCCACACTCCCTTCCTCCAAGATCTAGTCTTGTCAGACCTGCTTCCAGCCGGAATCCACCCCAGTCCTCTTCCTCTCAAGCCTCTTGTTCCTCTTTCTAGCCACAGTTCCAGGTGACTGCCCATCAATACCAACCCCGCTGGGAGAGACAGGCAGCAAGATACCCAGTCCTTGCCCAGGAGGAAGTCACATTCTAGCCAGGGAGTAGACTACACTGGAGAGAAATGGCCCAAGGATACACAGCAAAAGCTTGTTTAAAGAAAAAACAAAAGCAGGTGTGACCTGGCTTGTCTGCCCGCATCTTTCTGTCCTTTCCAGGGTAAAGCAACTCTCTCTTAATCCAGAATGTAATTACATTGATTGGGAAAGCATTCAGTCTTTCAGACAAGCCACATGCTGGCAGTAAGCATTGAATACAAATGCAGGGTTTGCAGTGACTGGAAGTTAGAGCCTGCTTGCAGGTAGCATGCAAATGTGTTCAAAATGTCCCCAACTTTGGGAGAAAAGGCTGGAAGTCTGGATCAAACTCGTATGCAAACCATGAGGAGTGCTTTTGAAGGCACAGCGGGCTAAGGGCTTTCTCCATACCCCCTATCTTGTGGGCTCTGGTCTTACAGCAGCTGTAGTAATTCTCCCCAGCAGGGCTTGCACTGCACTTCCACATCTGTCCTCTCTCTACACAAGCTATGAATGTCATTTCCATTTTACAGATAGGAAAGTGGGGCTCTGAGTGCTTCAGTGACCCAAACATTGTCACCTTGCTTAAAGTGGCAAACCCAGCCAGAGCCCTCCTCTCGCTTTTCCCTAGTTAGGGACAACTTGCGTAGGTGTCCTTGCATGTCTGAAGATTCTGCATTCTTAGGGATACATGAAGAAACTCCTATGTCCTCCCACCACCCCATTCACACTTGAGGATTCTGTGGCAGGTGCGCACTTAACAGTAAAATTCCTTCCTTTGCTAAAAATTTGCTGAATTCGCTCCCTTTCATGATCTGTAACTTTACATAAGCTGTTGTCTTTTATCAGCTTTAACAGATCAAATGTGAGCAATCGTCTGGGTGTGGTGGCTCACGCCTGTAATCCCAGCACTTTGGGAGACTGAGGTGGGTGGATCACCTGAGGTCAGGAGTTCAAGACCAGCCTGGCCAACATGGTGAAACCCCGTCTCTACTAAAAATACAAAAATTAGCTGGTGGCGGGTGACTGTAATCCCAGCTACTCAGGAGGCTGAGGCAGGAGAATTGCTTGAACCCGAGAGGTGGAGGTTGCAGTGAGCCGAGATTGCCCCACTGCACTCCAGCCTGGGCAACAGAGAAAGACTTCCTCTCAAAAAAAAAAAAAAAAAAGTGAGCAATCAGGAGACAATTGTTCTTCTGATGGCTGAGGTCACCATACAACCAAGGCTGACTGACGTTTCACTTTCTAAAGACTCAGAAAAGGAAGGAGAACCGTGTCCCACCTCACCCTAGCCCTTGTCTTCACTGACTGCAGGCCGCAGCCACCAGTTGGTTTCTCTGGGCTGTGTCCTCAAAGATACCAGGAATGCAGAAGGGTGGAGATACAGGCCAAGTGTTAACATTTGTGCTGGTTTGCAGATATAGTATTTTACCCAGGAAATCAGGGCTTACAAAAATATGAGGCAAATTTTTATCCAACGTACAGGTTAAGTTCTATCCCTAAATTCCATCAAATAATAATCTGATGTGTGAAAATTAGTAATTCAAAATTTACTACGCTGTTGGAACTTTAACATATATTGAGCCTTAAGGGAATATGATTATGAGGCCTGGGTCACATGACAGGCAGCTGTAACCTCTGTTTCTCCGATTAGATTAGCTTTTTTCCTTACCTACATTGTTTTGTAAAATGTAAATGACTGAAGGGTGCCAAGGAAGACCCCCTTGCTTCACTGTTGATCTTCATTACAGATTAACTTTTTTTTTTTTGAGACCAAGTCTCGCCCTATTGCCCAGGCTGGAGTGCAGTGGTGCGATCTCAGCTCACTGCAA